>NC_000007.14:114627991-114931021 GCF_000001405.40 Homo sapiens
TTTATTACTATATTTATTTTCTAGTACTTTATCATGTGTATATAAAATTTTGAAGATGATGATTATATTTTTAAGTAAGTATACTGTATACATGCTTTTTACTAGTTTAGATAACATTTATATGCATATTTCCAATTTTTTAATCTTTAATATTTATTTTAATTACACTTAAGACATTTCAAAAACCTTTGTATTTATAGCACAGTGACATTGATGAGATGATCAATTATGAAATATTGAGAACACCACCATGTGGTTGTTTATTTTTAACTATAGATATTATAGCCGAAATTCAAATATCTAAGCATGTTAAATAAGAGCTATGGAACATAAAGAGTTTGATGAAATCTGATGCCTCTGGAAAGCTAGTGTCTATGTTTTGTGATACTTTAGTACTATTGTAAAGAAGTTATAGTAAAATGTGACGTAAAAATTATTGATCATCAATGCTAAAGAATTTATAAAAGATAACATACTATTTGTGAAGTTGATTAACAGATATTTGGTTATGACCACGAATTTTCTTTCTCTTTCTCTTTCTGTGCAAGGTGCCTGTGTCAGTGGCCATGATGACTCCCCAGGTGATCACCCCTCAGCAAATGCAGCAGATCCTTCAGCAACAAGTCCTGTCTCCTCAGCAGCTACAAGCCCTTCTCCAACAACAGCAGGCTGTCATGCTGCAGCAGGTAATGTGGGTTACCTGCTTTGGTGTTCTAGCATGACTTAGAAGGTGTGCACTTATTTTGAAAGTGCAGTGGGCATATTTGACAATTCAGTCTCCATTTGAAAGGACAACCTATTAGCGTGCTAGAACATAAATGTAACATTTTAATTATAGAACTCGTAAGAAAATCTAGATTGCTTATTTTTTTAAAAAAATTATTAAAGTCTAGAATAAGAGCAGAGAGAGGTGTAATTTGAAAATGGAATGAGCCAATATTTAAATATTCAAATGCTTAGGTACATTCAATTTGTTGACTTGCCAAAAAAATGCAAAAATACTTACCAGATAATAGTTGCTTTTAAAACTCCTAACACCTTAGCATTCCTTTTAGTTCACAAAAGTATGAAATTTGAATAGACCACTTTGTTAAAATGGAGAAAGTAACATCCCAGATTTTCCTTTTCATAGTATACTCATCGTTTAGAAAGAGAAGAATCTATTTATTATAATGAAATTAGGCAGCTGAGCCACAAATTTATGAAATTTATCTTTTTAAAATAACAAACATAGTGTTCCTAATAAATACCATATCGGAACCCTGAGTGTATATAGACTTTATATTATACACTTACTTATTAGAGAGAAAATAATGTGCTTTACCTGAAATTTTTTATATATAATTACTTTGCTAACTTCTGTGCTGATGACTACAGACCAATTACTTGTAAATCTGACATTGTTCTGAACATCTGATGGATTAAGTTTTTTCCAATAAGAATTGAGCAACCTGATTTTATGTAGCTAAATTTTTATTCTTACAACTGGTAGAGTATAGCCTAGTTTTTATGTGTCAGTAGGACTTCAGATGTAATAATTTAAAGTATTAATTTGGCTCTGACCCTTTAGAATACAGACTTTCTATACCCTTTTGTTTAGGATTTTTTGGATTCTGGATTGGAAAATTTCAGAGCTGCCTTGGAAAAAAATGTATGTAGAGCTGTCTCTTTGAATCCAATGTATATTTTTTGTTGTTTTTATGGGATGAATCTTAATGGATACTCTGCCATATGCCAGTCTAGAAGAGTTTAGGAGATTTATAATACGTGAAACTTTTGCCTTTATTTATTAAAGTCAAAATGGTTTATTCAGCAACAACTACAAGAGTTTTACAAGAAACAGCAAGAGCAGTTACATCTTCAGCTTTTGCAGCAGCAGCAGCAACAGCAGCAGCAGCAACAACAGCAGCAACAACAGCAGCAGCAACAACAACAACAACAGCAGCAACAACAGCAGCAGCAGCAGCAACAGCAGCAGCAGCAGCAACAGCATCCTGGAAAGCAAGCGAAAGAGGTAGGATCCGGTTATCTCATTGATACATAACAGTTTGCAGTTAAGAAGGGGCTTTGAGCGGCAAGAATAGTCTTAGATCTTCCTATAACAAGGCTCTTGCTGTCAAAGTTGCAGTATTATATATTTTTACTGAGCTTAGTAACAGTGATAGGCTCTCAGGCTCTCCTTTTTTGTAGCATGGGACTTGAGAGTTACAATCTAATGCTGCTGTCGTCTAATGTTCACTAATGAATCACAGTACAAAGAGCAAGCTGTGTGGTGGACAAAGTACTGATTATCTTGTATTCATGGAGAATCTAAGTTGGTGAGGGAACCTTATTTTTCTCAGTGGTGCAGCTCAGAGAACATGCATGCAAATTTGGCCTATTGTTGGGGATAGGGAGACTAAGGGAGAAACTGGTTGAGCACAGATTTCAAAGTCACAGGCCCCTGATTAATGAACTGCTACTGTAGGTTGAGAGTGGCGAGTAGAAAGTTACAGTTTGATATGCTCATAAATCAAACTGACAAGCGGGCTTCTCAGGCCTAGCTTGCACTTGTCAGCAAACTGCATCAAATATAAACATAATACAAACAAAACATGTTGAAGTAGTTAAATTGATCAGCAGGTATCAGAGCCGTTGTCTTCAAGCTGCCCATTATGCAAACGTACAGGAAACAGTTTTGACCTCCTGAGGCTTTGTTTCTGTTTGGATTTGTGAATAGAATTTCAGACAGCCATCAACTACAGAATAGAAATTGCTCCCTTATTTCTCCCGAGGCTTTGGGCAATCCACATGACTTGCTCCATTATGCAGTCTGTTTTCCAGTGAGCGCATCAGAAGTTTCTCTTTTCCCCAAACTAAAAAGGAAAGGTCTTCCACAGCAGCTTGTCTTTCTCTGAAGTGTGACTGCCATCTCATACCCTCTGGAGTCCAAAGACCTCTGGTTTGTCTTGTAATGCCTCACAAAATTGGAAGTTATACTTTTTCTTATAATAAGGGCACTTTTTTTTAATTTTGCCTTGAACGTAATTCTGCCTTTAATATATTCCAACAAGAGAGGAGAAGAGAGAGAGAGCTAACAGGCCTATCCTATGAAGGCTACATCCCAGTTTACTAATAGATCACCAGAGACCACATTCATGGACCTCTGCAGATCAAACTTATTCAATTGGAAAAAAAAAAAAAGTGTGTCGTAGAAGTTGACTATTTCTGTAAAGTAGTGTTCTTTTAATCTAGAGAAATGTATTATTATCTACAATAAGTAGATTTTAAAAAGCTGAACCTTTATTACATACTATCTCTAGACCTTGCTCCATACTTTTTTGATGCAAGTTCCTTGGTTCTCTAACACGATTTAATAATTGAAAGAAAGGCAACTGAAAATCTAGAACTTACTCACATTCTGCCCCTGAACTTTGACTATGGGATGACCAAAAAACCCACTCAGGCAATGAAAGGAGTGTGCATTTCCCTGTAAGAGAGCTGTTTGTACAGACCATGTTCTCTGCTGTTTACTGGTTTGGGTTTTCTGATACCAGCAGCAGCAGCAGCAGCAGCAGCAACAGCAATTGGCAGCCCAGCAGCTTGTCTTCCAGCAGCAGCTTCTCCAGATGCAACAACTCCAGCAGCAGCAGCATCTGCTCAGCCTTCAGCGTCAGGGACTCATCTCCATTCCACCTGGCCAGGCAGCACTTCCTGTCCAATCGCTGCCTCAAGGTACATACAAAATGTTGTGCACTCTTCATTTCAAATCTTGTACTTTCTACCATTTCATGGCCTTTCTGCCTTATACCTTGAGAAATTTTGTTTTTATGACTTTCAAATTTATTATTAAAACGTGATTGTTAACATGGTGGCATGACCTATTTTCTAGAGGCTCAGAAATTTTACCATATACTGCTTTCAAGTGTGAAGTAAAACTTTCAAGTTTTTGTTAGATATTAAATGTGTATTTATTAGTCTTATGGGCACAAAATGA
Organism: Homo sapiens; assembly: GCF_000001405.40. Classification (NCBI taxonomy): domain Eukaryota; kingdom Metazoa; phylum Chordata; class Mammalia; order Primates; family Hominidae; genus Homo; species Homo sapiens. The sequence goes on from NC_000007.14 coordinate 114,631,968, forward strand.
TTTATAAGGGCAACACAATTCAAGCACTATTGAATATACAGGAGGATCTGCAGGGAATTGGATTACCGGGAAGGCTGACAGCAGTCCATTTAACTAAGTGAGCTGATAGGAGTTTGGTGGACAACTGATAAAAGAAAGATAAAAGTTCCTAATCTTCACACTGAAATCACCACATGTTAAAGAGAGGCTTCATGAATTTCTATAGAGCACATTCCAAGTTAAGCTTTGTAGAACCCCATCCTATGTCACAGGACATATCCATTCTTTTTTCTCTCAAATAACATTGCCTATGCATGTATTGTAAACTATAGTTTTAAAAAATCTGTCAACTGTATTCTTATTTTTCTGTAAGAAAAATTTGGAGGTACTCTGATAATACAATTGTGTGTCATATTCATAACCCTTCACTTTTGGGAAATGGAAAGTTTTAAATTATAAAAGACAAATAATGGTAAACAAATGACTGTGTGCTAAAATTCTCAATTCAGGTAAGTTATATATCATTACACTTCATAAAGGGATATTCTAACTTGCATTTGGATTTTGTTGGGACAAACATTAATCCAAATGTACATTAATTCAAATTAATTATATTTGTCACAGAGGAGTTCATATTGTAGTAGCATTGGCTGCACATTTTGCTGATTCTAAAGGACATACTAAAGAAAATCAGGAGTATCGTGGTAATGTTCTCTCTTTTTATTTATCAAATTAATGTCTCTTTGGCTTTTTTCCCCCTGGTTTTCCTCTCTCACTTGACTTCAAATCTTCTAATTCACCTGATTGAAGCACTCCTAGGAAATCAAAAAAGATAAAGTTTAAATAGCAAAAGAAAAACAAGGCAATAAGCCTGTTTTTCTGAGTTATTCTAAAGAATATTGGAATAAATATTCTAAAGAAAATTGGAATAAATCATAGCGTCATTATATCAATGAATGTTCTATTCACAATTATTCTTCTTTAGAAAAATAAATACAATTTAAAGACATGAAAAAGTAAAAAAGAAAAGAGTTTATAAAATTATTTCAGTGTAAACATGGATTTCTTCAATAGAAACTATACTAAAACAGAAAAAATATTGTTTTTGTTTTCAGTCAAGTTCAAATGAAATCTGTATTTAGGATATAATTATATGAGAATTTCCTCAACAGAAAAGCATGATCTACCACAATCTTATTTTATTAATTCAAGTAAACATTTTAAGAAAGTTTAAAATATGTGCTAATAGAAACACAGTGTAACTTGTTTAAAACATATTGTGAAACCACATTCTTTCAAAACAAGCAAAAAACATCTCTCTGAACAATGAAATTTATAATGATATAATCATTCTAATAGTTTTCAAATAGAAATTACCTGAATTCAAATTAAAATTTATTTTCATAGAATCCTTGTTTCTCTCTTTTCTTCTGTTTTTATCCTTGATAAGATATATGAGAGATAAAATGAGAAAATGGCGAACATTTAGGGAAAGGAAAGTAAATCTGAAAACATCTGTCTTTGAGCAGAAAATTTATATTTTAAAAAGGAAAAAAGATGAAATCACTCAACTATGTTTTCATTAATATAGGTTAAAAAAATCCATCTGAATAATTGTAGGGCCACAAATGTAGTTGGTTCACCGATCAAAGTTTGTGTTGTTGCCATGTAAGCCACACAAACCGGCATCATTGTCTTGTTTTTTACGATTTAGATGATTAAGTGTGAAAAATATCATTGTGGAGGCTCATTGTGTGTTGAATACACCAGCTACAGTAAAGGAACCTAGCGTTACGGTACTATGCTGGAATCCCAAAACTAGAGTGGGGAAAAAGTAAAGAAATATTTGTTGTACAGTGTAAGCCCTGAATCATTTCTTCCTTAGTTAGAGGTTAAGGTAAAAGTATTTTGAATATTTTTATTATCAGTTTCCAGTTCACTTTTTACCAGGTTTTTGATTGGTTGATTAGCCTTGAAAAATAGCCATATAAAAACCAAGTAGGATTAATGTGCAATGATGGATGATGTTCTCATTGTGTCTTTAAAACTGTATCTTTTCTTTTTTTTTTGAGGAGTCTCACTCTGTCACCCACACTAGAGTGCAGTGACGCTAACTTAGTTCACTGCAACCTCCGCCTTCCCGGGTTCAAGCAATTCTCCTCCCTCAGCTTTCCGAGTAGCTGCAATTACAGGTGCCCACCACCACGCCTGGCTAATTTTCATATTATTAGTAGAGACAGGGTTTCACCATGTTGACCAGGCTGGTCTCTAACCCCTGACCTCAAGTGATCCGCCTGCCTCGGCCTCCCAAAGTGCTAGGATTACAGGCATTAGCCACTGTGCTCGACCTAAAACTATGTCATATTTTATTTGTCCCTATAATTTAACACAACTTCTTCATGCTACTTTTAGAGTTACAGCTTCTTAAATTATATTAAAATATATGTATATAACAATGAGAAATAATAAAATTATAAGAATTTTGGTAGAATAGCAGATTTATCTACATTCCTCTCTAAAGTTTTATATTTATCATCTTAGTGTAAATTATTTTAAATATTAATCATTTAAGGTCATCATTAATATTACTATAATATTGGATTTTAGTTAGGCAAGTAAACTTCCATCTCCTAAGTATATGTTTGGTTTGTATACAGACAGATGATAGATATATACATAAGTATAGGTATATAGGTATATACATACATATGTCAAATAGAAAGGATGGATTTATAGTTCCATCTTGAATAATATACTGATTATAAATCTATGTAATATATGAATAACATAGTTTATATATTATCTAGTAATGAAATTTAGTGAAACATTTTAATGAACCAGGATAATTGTCTATTGGTTAGGAAAGATGAAGTTAACTTTAAACATTGATATGTTTGTGACATCCGATAAACGTTTGTGTACTCTAATCCACAATATATTCACACATTTACTATGACTATATGGATAGGAATACATGTGGTGATGATTTTCTGTCACTCCAAGTTTTTACATATTTTTTAATTTATAAAAGTTATTTAGAAGACAAGATTTTCCTTTCCAATTTGAGAGACCAAACAGAGAATGCTAGATTCTAGCCTGGATTCTTCTGAATTAACACATTATAGAACTAGAGATTCTCAGAATAAGAGTGGTTGAATAATAATTAAAAATGAAATATTTGAAATAAAATATAATGTTTTTAGGCTAAGTTAGAATTGTGCCGAAGATAGTCTTTGGGCGCAATATTCAGCCAAAATTAGCTGTTTGGCTTTGGCTTCATTCTATGCTTATGGAAGTCTAAGTAGCCAAATGCCTACTTCTGGCATCCTGGATTTACTGCTTAATCAATGATCTTGTGATTGCATAGATTACTATTGTATGTAATTGTAGCAACAACACTACCAATATGAACAATCCATGTCATGCAAAAATATTACCATGTCAGTATTCCCTTTCAAATATCAAAGTTTTCCATTTGTAACTTGGGGAAAAAATCTTATTTGGTGCTTTATGTGCTAAAATTTCATCACTGAATTGAAGTTTTAATGTACATTTATTATTGCAGGTATAAAACTCTGCCAAGCTACCTGTGAATGCTGTTAATTTTATGTTTAAAAAACTAGTAAATACTTACATATATAGAAAAATATTGAGTATGTTGAGTTAGTTTTTGAAAAAATGTAAAAAGATTGAGATTAAACTGTATCATAACTCTATAATTCTTGTAGAATTATTTTGTGAACTAGAATGTATAACATTAAAATGAATTTAATTCCATTTATCTCTTAAGTCTTTTTTTAAAGTTTTATTTGGCAATTCTTTACATCTTGAGAGGAAGACTCGAAAGCAGTGTGTCAACTTTGCCATATTAAAATATGATGAGAAAAAGGAAACATCATTGGTTTTGTAATAGAATATCCATCAAGCTTTTGAAATGCAACCTATAAAAAATGATAGTACTAATTTTTGTTAATATCAGATGTATTCACATATCCCAGAAGTTCCTTCTTTGGAGAAGATAATTTATCTTTGATCTCAGTTTCAGCTGAATACCTACTTCTGCTAAATTTGGCATTTGGACAAAGCATGTATTTAATTCACCTCTCATTAGACAAGCATTTTAAAGATAGGCATTGTATCTGTAGGTGATAGTAGACCTCTAGTCAAATATAAATCAATAATATGTTGAGTTAGTCAAATTATAAATGAACACCCAGATCTCTGAAGGATACTCCAGAAACTGGGACTCTCTTCTGAAGAAGAGATATGGGTATCCAGAGGTCAAGGCTGGTAGGGAAGTTTACTTTTGTAATATATACCCTTTTCTGTGATTCAATTATTCTGGCCATGTATGTATACCAGTTTTTAAGTTTCACATCTTAAAATACAAAATTTAAGATGAAAACTGAAAAGTACATAGTAATATCTCAGTGATTCAAATTCAAATATTAAATATCAATTTGGCTTAACAGAATATATATAATACAAATGTTTCTACCAAAACTCACTTTTATTACTTTAAATTATAAGTAACCTTAGAAAATAAGTAGCGTATCACTAAATAAGTTAGTTAAAAATTAACAGTATACATACTTTGCATCATAATATATACAATTATTTGTTTAACATTTAAAAATCAATTACTGGACACAGAAAAAGAAATGACATTGAAAAAATCTTTTTTTTTTTTTTTGAGTGTAAAAAAGCTGCCAAGGAGATTTTTTACTAATAAAAATTGCTTTTTACTTATTTTAGTGATAAGTAAAAATCATCTTAGCAGCATTTTCAAAGCTGTGTTGAAACTAGCGTAGACATTTTTAAACTTCGTGTGCCTTAAGGACATATAATCTAGATATGAATTAATTTTAATTAATTCTTAGCACAGTGCTTGTCATCTTGTAGATACTCCACAAACTCTGAATATGGGATTAAGGAATTATTATTAGGCCAAGTACAGTGGATCACACCTATAATCCCAGCAATTTGGGAGGCTGAGGCTGGAGGATCACTTCAGCCCAGGCGTTCAAGACTAGCCTGGGCAACATAGTGAGACCCTATCTTTACAAAAAATAAAATAATTAGCTGAGCATGATGACGTATGCCTGTGGTCGGTCACATCCCAGCTACTTGGGAGGCTCAGGAGGGAAGATCACTTCAGCCCAGGTCAGGGCTATAGTGATCTGTGATCATGCCATTGCACTCCAGCGAGACCATGTCTTAAGAATTATTATTAAGTTGTATTATCTGTGGTATGATAGACAATTTGATTAAGGAATTACCCTTTCATTTACTCAGCTCCTGTGGTAAAAACCTTTTAATATTTGTGGTACTGGCAGTGAATAAGCACAAGCCCAAGTTATCAACCAAAAGTAGAATAGGGATTCCCAATTTTTTGTGGCCACGGAATTTTAAAATTGCATAATTACAAAACTTTTTGGCACTACTAGTATATATATCCTTGAAATAAGAGAAACCGAATAATCTTCACTTAAGATAAAAGTTGTCTATTAATCATAATAGTCTAGTCCACAGATTCCCAGAGTATGTTTGCCAGTACACGAGTGTTCTGGCCAAATTTTAAAACTCTTTCAAGTAACATTCTTTGAGCTTTCTGTGACTGCAGGCACTCTTATAGACACTGGGGATATAGCAGTGAAGAAAACAGACAGAAATCCCTGCCATCATAAAACATACATTTTAGTGTAGAAGGCAGATGATAAATAAGTTAAGTAAAATATATAGTGGTGAGCGCTAAGGAGAGAAATAAAGGCAAGAATAGGAAAAGCCTAAGTAACAATAGGAAAATGGGGTGACCCTCAGAAGGAGTCCTGAGAAAAGGGTTAATGAGTAATGACCTGAAAATGAGAGGAAGCTCTGCGACAGAGTAGCTCTAGAGCAAGGCCTTTTCTTTGCCTTAGTGTCCCCATCTCTAATATAGGGATAATAAGAGCAATAATAATGATAATAATGGTTTGGGGTATTAGATTAGATATCATATGTGAAGCACTTAGAAGAATGTCTGCCATATCAAAAGCACTATGTAAGTATCAGTTAAATAAAACAGAGACAAAGAAAACTCTAAAGAGGACTGAGTTGGGGTTGAGGGAGGGGGCTGTATAAACAGGAGCTTAGTTTTGAACATGGAAAGTTTAAGAAAACGGATAAGGTTACATGGGATTTTCAAATAGAAAGACTGGGAGGGGTATGGGATGGGATCAGTTGGTGACTCCTAAGTTTACACCTGGTATTTAAAACTTACGCAAACTAGTGTAATTATAAAGAGTTTCTTGGGTTTTTCTTGCTCAAATAGAATTGGAAAACGCTGACTTCAAAATGAGATTCAGGTTTTCCTTGTTACTACACATCTCAGAACTATTTTACATGAATAATAAGTCCCCAAGACAGAGACCACAGATCTCTTAGATTAACAGCATTTATAAGACTACTGTTCCATAGAACACTGTTTTGGAAATACTGAACTTGTTATATTACTGCCTCAAGAATAACCTAGATTAATCATTGCAAACCATCAAGCCTTCAAAGCTCATAAAACTTTCAAAATTGTACAAAATCGATTGGCTAGTTGTTTCACATTTCATAAGTAGTTTTGTAAGCATATAAAAGAGCTGAGCAATTTTTAGGTTGAAAGCTTTGTCCCAAGAGCAAGGTAATAGTTTTCTTTTTAAAAATGTCCCCCCAAAATTATCTGTGCATTGGAATCACCTTTGGAGCTTCAAAAACTACTAATGCCTGTGTTTCCCCTCTAAAATTGTGGTTTTATTGGTGTGGGTTGTGGTAAGGCCTTTAGAGATTTTAAAATATGCCCAGGTGATTCTAATATGCAGACATTTGAGGATCCACTGCCGCTAAAAGGAATTTTTTGACTTCTTTTATTCTCTGCCTCTTATCTATTATATAATTTAACACTGTGTCTTCCTGTTTTTAATTAAGAAACATTATTTGGATTATTTGAACAGGCCATTTATTCATCTAATATTTATTGAGGGCCTACTAACTGCCTGACATTTGTTACTTCATTACAATAGCACGGTTATATCACTAATTTTCAGTACAAATGAATAGTATCATAGAAATCTACTTTTAGAAGGCAAGTGGATACTTACATAACTAAATTATTAATAAAATCCAAAAACTGAGTTACCAGTAACATCGTTAGTTGGTATAATCTCTAAAACCATCTAAGAGTCTTAAACTGAGATATAAAATGTTGTTAGCCACTCAATCTATGTTAGAAGCAACTAGTGCCATATATAATTCTTTAGACACTGGTCTTGTATTGTAGCAATATTCATATAGAGTATGCCCTTTAAGAGTCACAAAACTTCCATGTGGGCACCAACATGTCTTCAAGAAATGTATGACTCTATTATAATCAATGGAATCTACAAATATTTATTGAGCACATGCCACGCACTGTTCAAGGCAGTGGAGATACACCAGTAAAACAAGAAATTCCTACTCTTATAAAACTTCAGTTGTATTAGAAGGAGACTGGTGATAACAAGAGGTAGACTAGATAGATAGATAGGTTAAATGGTTTCAGAAACTGTTACATGATTTTAAAAAAAAAGCTGGATGAGGAGTTAAGGAATGCTAGAAGGGAGGGTGGGGAGGGGCAGGGGTTGATAGTATGGTTGGAAACTTAGAGGAGGTGAACTTTGAACCATCTAAGTAAAGGGAGGGAGGAAGCCAAGAACAGGTTGTGGGAACAACCAGAGCAAAGGTTGGAAAGGGAGCAAATGTTTGATACATTTGAGAAGCAACAGAAGGCTGGTATAACAGAATGAAAAGTGAAGAGAGAGCGGTAGATGAGATCAGAGAGACAGGCAAGAGCCAGATAATAAGTGCAGTGCCCCATAGGCTATATTAAAGGTTGTTTTTGTTTCTGTTGTTGTTGTTGTTTTGTCATTTTGTTTTCTTCTAAGTATTCTCGAAAGCCTTTGGAGGCCTTGCCTGGGAAGCGACATGACCTAATTTACATTTATAGAGAGAATACTTGGATACTCCATGAAGAGTAAATTCATATATTCAAGGCAAGGTAATAGCAGGAAGACAGTTGGAAGGCTATAGCTGTGATCCAGGCAAGAGTTGACAATACAGCAGAGAGGCAGCTGGTAAGATGGTGAAAGTTCTAATGCAAAAGACATGTTGGTGCTATCATGAAAAAGGATTTGCTAATGAAGTTTTCCTGTTGGGACACCTAACATACACCAACAGATAATCAAAATTTACTGTCAGAAGAGTTTCAGAATTCTAGGTTAAAGCAATAATTATAGATCTTTATATAAAAAGTTGTTTCCTATGTAACAGAGAAACCTTTCTTTATAAAGCCACTTTCTTTTTTTATGGAAAAAAAATGGGTTGTAGTAACTTTGGAAACCCGAATTATCCTGTTTTTTCTTTAGGCTAGGTCCTTGTCTTAAATCTCAAGGAGCCAGAATCACTGAAATGATAGCCTTCAGTAAAACTACCTGTACGAAATTGTGATAGGCATAGCTATTTAAGGTTAATGCTGTGATGAATAATATAACCAGAAGTTATGTTTGGAACAGTGAGAATTCTTCTGTTCCTATTGGCTACTGGCCAATACTTAGATATAGTGATATCTAGATCAGGGATTTTTCCATTTGCAGGGATTGGGGTGAGAGAGTTCATTCTTCTCACCATCATATTCTGTTATCTTGCCCCATCTCCCGTGACTATTCCAACCTGCTTCACCCCACACATCTCTTACATCACTATAGTATCTAATGTAGATGTATGTTCGGTTGGGAGAGGTAGTTTGAGTTGCACTTTCATCTTTATATTAGATGTTATAGATGCACATAGTAATTAAGAACATAGATTTTGGAGCTACAGAGCATTGAGTTTGAATTCTGCCCACTGATCATAAATTGGGTGATTTGGGGGAACATATTTAATGTTTCTGAGCCTTCTTGTAAAATATAATGATTTCTAACCTCAGGTGAGGTTAACTAAGATTATAAATGTAAAGCTCTTAGTAAAAATGCCAGAATATAGTAAATACTCTCTTCATTTTTTCCTGTACTTATTTATTCAGTAGTTTTAATATTTTCTTAATATAGTATTTTAATAGCAAATATACTCAAGCCAGACTGCCTGGATTTAAATCACAACTTTACCACGTAGAAGCTGTGTGATCTTGGACATATTTTTTAACTTCTCTCTTAGTTTGTTTCCTTTTCCATGAATTGCTTAATCATACCAACTCTATTAGTTTGTACTGAGGATTAAAAAGCACAAGGTCTATAAAAAATATACAAAGACACAGTACTATTTTGTAAGTCAAATACTGTAAGCAATAGTCTCTCAATACTTTATTTCAAATTCATAGTTAAAAACTAAATGATTATATCTAGCTTTTCTATTTTTATTGTTGTATAATTCAAATAAATTTGCATAACCTGAATCAGGGAATTGTTTAAAATGAGTAGTTGATTTACTCTATCAGTCATAAATGAAGGAGAAGTTTAGATATAATCTTCTTAACTGATCCAGTTAAGTAAGCATATTGGTTTGTTTAAGACACCAAAATTAAATTTAGCTATTTAGTTCATCCCTCTGAGAAATATCAAAATGAACAGATAATTGTCAAATCTCCTATTTTTTTGAGTTGAGTGTTCACTGTTTTTCCCTGGCATTTTTGTTTTCCCTTTTATTTATTTATTTATTTTGATATTATTTTGAAATCTGTTTCTCTTTCAGTTCCTCACTGATTTAAAAACAAACCTTAATACTAGCAATAGGTAAAAACTACTCTTAAAAGTTGAATAGTTCAATTTTTATTTGTATTTATTTATTTATTTATTTTTATTTTTTATTTTTTTGTTTTTGTTTGAGAGAGGGTCTCACTCTCACCCAGGCTAGAGTGCAGTGGTACAATCTCAGCTCACTGCAACCTCTGCCTCCCAGGTTCAGGCAATTCTCCCGCCTCAACCTCCTGAGTAGCTGGGATTACAGGTATGTGACATCACACCCAGCTCATTTTTGTATTTTTAGTAGAGACAGGGTTTCACCATGTTGGCCAGGCTGGTCTCGAACTCCTGGCCTCAAGTGATTCACCCACCTCAGCCTCCCAGAGTGCTGGGATTACAGGCGTGAGCCACCATGCCTGGCCCTAGTTCAATTTTTAAATGGAACATGCAGGGATTTTTTTTTAATGCTTGATATTATTCTCAGTAATTTCATATGGCATTATTCCCCATACTATTCCCAAATTGGTACTCTTTAGAAAATAAATGATTGTTTTTCAAGACAAAAGCTTTGGTGCTGATAGTGTAAAAGTGATTTTTTGTTGTATATTAATTTATGCAGGTAACATCACTGTTGTTGTTGGTATTAATCTATTAATAACACAAAGCTCATTATATAAACTTTACCTTTACCTTGTTATGCTAGTGAAGCTTTCTTTCATTTTATAGCTGGCTTAAGTCCTGCTGAGATTCAGCAGTTATGGAAAGAAGTGACTGGAGTTCACAGTATGGAAGACAATGGCATTAAACATGGAGGGCTAGACCTCACTACTAACAATTCCTCCTCGACTACCTCCTCCAACACTTCCAAAGCATCACCACCAATAACTCATCATTCCATAGTGAATGGACAGTCTTCAGTTCTAAGTGCAAGACGAGACAGGTAAATCTCATGAGCTTTATTCTATATTTATCTATTTTCAGATTTTATTTTCACCATTGAGACAATGAAAAAGAACAATTTGTACTTGGAGCAAGGACAAAATGTATAGAACAACAGATTAGAAATCTTTAGATTATTTATCTTATTTTATATATAATATATATATATATATATATATATATATATATATTTTTTTTTTTTTTTAGGCAGAGTCTTGCTCTGTCACCCATGCTGGAGTGCAGTGGCACAATCTTGGCTCACTGCAAGCTCCGCCTCCCGGGTTCCTGCCATTCTCCTGCCCCAGCCTCCCGAGTAGCTGGGACTACAGGCGCCCGCCCCCACGCCTGGCTAATTTTTTGTATTTTTTTTAGTAGAGACGGGGTTTCACCATGTTAGCCAGGATGGTCTCTATCTCCTGACCTCGTGATCTTCCTGCTTCGGCCTCCCAAAGTGCTGGGATTACAGGCGTGAGCCACCGTGCCCGGCCTATATTCTTTATATTACAGAAAAGCAGTTCAAATACCAAAAGTTTGATGGATGTAGTTTGGGAGTTTGCCTGAAGAAATTTATTTTTTCATGAGTGCATGTGGAATGATTGTATCAATATATTTTTATGACTGATATGATTAACCTGATTGCTGAGAACATTTTTTAAGCTAAAAATCAGTTCTTTAATTTCAAATAATTAAAGATGCATGGATATCTCTCTTATATGTTTCAAACATATGAATTAGAAATCAGAGAACAGATAAATATATAAACACAAGCATAATAAGCTAGATGATGGAAAATCTGGTTTGCCTTTTTAATTGTTGCATGATGAAATAAGTAAATATATAAAGATAAATATGTTGGTAATTTTATGATTAAATTCAACTAAACTTTCAAAGAAAAATTTTTTATTTCAGTTATTAATATTAAATGTGTTATGTTAGATAATTTTTTTGATAATTTTTAACTACTGTTTTTAGTTGTATAAAAATTGCATTTGTGAAAGGAGCATTCATGTACATTTGTCCTTTAGCTCCATTTATTTAGGCATCTTGCTCTCTAATCAAGTCCTTTAAAGTAATTTGCATATAGTTCATAAACTAAAATATTGTTCAGTGTGAAAAATCTATTTTTGAAAGATGAAATGTAAGTGTAGAATTCTTAACATAATGGCTTAGGCTTATATATAGCTCCAAACTTCATATGTAAGTGTAGTGGACTGATAGTGTTCTGTTATGCAATATGAATATCTGCCTTGCCATAACAAATTCTTTGTCATAAACAAATGTTTTCCAAAGAAACAGATATTTAATTATAGTACAGTTTAAAATAAAATTCTATAATTCAGTGATGTTTCTGGCCTTCATTTGAGTATCATGGAAACTTTTTCTTGTTTGGTTTTATTAGTATAAAGTGGTATGCTCCTGAATGCTTTCATGCTGTTGTTTTAATTGAGATTAATTTGATGATTGTGTATTCCAAAACTTGGTTGATTTCTCTGGGATCTCTCTAATATTCACTTATCAAAAGTCTTCAATAATTATATAAAGATAAAGCTAATGAATACTGTTCCAAAGTAGATTTTCTAAATCAGGTGTAACTAGTAGAAATATATGTGGTTTATACATAAATATTAAACAAATTAAATGATCCTAGAGGTCCATATCTTCTTTAAAAAGAGCATTTCAAAATCTTATGATGGCTGTCCTATTATTCTCTTGAAAATAAAGGTTTTTTTCACTTGACCACATATGAATATACATTTTTTATTTAGAGATAAAATGTTACATTAAGGTCATAAGGCAGGATTAGCATATGATATTATACAGTCCTCTTAGTTTTTCATCCTTTATTAACAGTCATCTTTGGCTCTATTTCTCCTCTAATTGGAACATCATCTAGCCTTGGCAGTTGAACTATTCAATAGAACGATTAAATTTTTCTGACTGCTCTGAGCTGAATTGACCTGTTTTGACCTGTTTGTCACTGATCGTAACCTGACAGGCGCTAGCAGCCTGCAACGATTATAGCTTTTTGAGATGAATCTGACGTCGTGTTCTTTTGCTACAGCTCGTCACATGAGGAGACTGGGGCCTCTCACACTCTCTATGGCCATGGAGTTTGCAAATGGCCAGGCTGTGAAAGCATTTGTGAAGATTTTGGACAGTTTTTAAAGTAGGTTTTTTACTTTTTTTTGGTGGGGGGCGGGGGCTGGATTATATGGGCATTTTAGGCACATTGTAAATAAACAAAAGATGAAGGAGGAATGTAAAAGTCCATTATAAGTCATACTTCAAGATTTTTGTGGGTTCCAACAAGTGGATTAGTAAGATCAGGCTTCATCTTTTCATTAAGATATTTTACAAATCATTTAGTAAAGATTTTTGAATGAATGAAAAATATTAGCCTACAATAATATGTCATTAATCACTGGAGACATTTATAACAGAACTATTTATAAAATAGAATTCTCTTAAGTTTTAAGTTTCTAATTAATATTATGTGAGTCATCCTAATATATATATATATATATATATATATATATATATATATATATATATATATTTCAGTAAACATATTTTGAAAGTTCGTTTTTTAATTACAGGCTTTATATATTTTTTAAAATAGTAGTATTTAGTATATACATGTAACTACAAGAATTAAAAGTGAAAGTTTATACTGGCTAAAATTAAAAAAACTACATTTCATTTACATTGTTACTTTTTGCCCTTAGAAACATCAAGAAACACACATGGCTATATGTTTGTATAACAGATTACATGGCTTCTCTAGCTTAAAACCAAAACTTTGTGTATTCTTAATTTTTAATAGAAAATTTTATTTTTAAAAAAATCATAAGGGGTTCTTTTTCAAGTGAAAATCTTCATCTTTCATGAAATGTTTTCCTTACACAATTCTGGTGTACAAGAGATCTAAACAGAGAGCTACAGATAGGCTTATGGAGATGAGTAACTTCACAGGCTGAGACTCTTATGTTGTCATGGTGCAGCTAACAGGGTGAGTGAACTGTTTCATGCTTCATCAACAATTAAGTTAATTAGCTCATTTGAAATTGCACTGCTTTGTTGCCAGGATGTTGGCAGAAACATCAAAAAGATGTGTTTACAAATGGAAGACTGACTACAGGGTATAGAGCAAAAGCACCTTAACAACCAGGCACAAGTACTTGGCATCACAATAACTTTATAAATGAATTACAGTAAGACTTCCACAAAGATTTTTTTAACCTTTTATCATTTCTAACTAATTAAGAGAAAATTTGCTTCATATACCACTATGGCTCTTTGTAAATGGCCTTAAATGAAAATTTACACTTTTCTTTTATCAAAACAGTTGTGAGCTGCCATTTCCTTGGGTATGAAACTGATTATAAGCAAAGAGACCATTAAAAAATGTTAGGTAGCTTTGCTGAAGTTTTCTTCTCTAAAAAAAAAAAAAAAAAAAAAATTGTTAAAGCAAAGAAAGAACATAGGGATGTTATTTTAACAAATTATTTCCCATTTCCTCATGTGAATACATTAGTCCTTATCAATGTATTATTCCTTGTCATTGAAATTATGTAAAGGGCTATTGTTACATTTTTTTAAGAATGGCAAATTATGCCATAGGACTAACCCACTCACCATGCATTTTATTGCTCCAAATTGTTCTTTCTGACAAAATTCAAAATAAATCTTTAGGTGAAAAATACATATTTTCCTTCAGTATGATTTTGTTTATAGCAAATTGAAAGAAGCATTTAATTTAGCTCAAATATTTATGTTTTTATTACTGACAACCAGATGAATATGAACCCTCATTTTACCTTAAATAGTCTTCTTTCATATTCATGCCAGTGTTTTTTAAAAAACCAAAGAAATTACAATTAAAAAAGCATTTCCTTTCAATTAAATATCAACTTTGGTTCCAAAGACTGACCATTTTTCCAACCCATTAACTTTATAGGGATGACAGAACTAATGACAGGAGGTTTTAAAGCCTTTTTTTAGTCCATTTTTATTTTGATATGCTTTAGATTCACTAACTCAAAGATCTGTGATAAATTCTGTTAACAGAGCTAATGTAAGTATACTGACCGAAGTGAAATATCGATTAGATATACTTTCTGTAGTGGCATTGTCTTCTTGAAAATGTGTTAGAAATTGGAAAAGAAAGAAAATATCTCATTAAATGAATTAACTTCGGTTATTCAAAAAAAGTTTATTTAGCATCTGTGTGGGAAGTGAAAATGAAGAAGGAAAGCATAATCACTTCGACAGATTTTCTCAGAGGACTTTGTTTTCCTTTGTAATAATGGAGAAAATTGAGGATTTGGGGAGCAAAATGATAGGTAAATTAAAAAGCTGTGAAAGATTTTTAGTTCTCATTTTTTTGTGTATCCATTCTCCCTAAATTGTATATCCAGTGTTTATTATAAAAGTTTTTTAGGAAAATATTATTGTGCATTTTTAGTTCTAGTATACGCTAGAAATAAATTTTACAGCTTCGACTTTAATTTGATATCAGATAACTTATCTTTTGGTTTGAAATAAAAGGAAACCATTCATTTTTACTGTTTAGCTGACATATGTTACATTAAAAAGAATAATAGAAAATATATTGAGTCCCAAATTATTTTTTTCACATTACATCTCAAACAAACTGGTGGAATCCCTCTATTTTTATCTTGCACCAAATGAAAAGCCATTATAGGACAGTTGCTTATGTATAACACATATATATGTACCTGTATATTATATATATTTATGTATCGTATATATTTATGTGTTATATATTCTTATTCTTATATATTCTTTAATTCTTATATACTTTTTAATTGAGGCACTCTTTTCCATTGGATAAAAAAAATTCAGACTAAGTTAGAAGTAGTTATTTGTAACAGCAAGATGAAAGCAGAAAATACAAAATGATGAAGGGAGTCCAGGATAAAAAAGTGTTGAGGAAAATTTTTGAGTTTTAGTGTAAAGTAGGTGTTGACAGAAGCTAACCATTTTTCCTGACCACTAATTGAGTATCTCACTAGATCACTAAAAGCATTTAATACTAGTTCTTCATTACTGTCTTATAAATGTCAAAGAGTAATAACATCTGACAAAACTTTAGAGTAGTTTGTCTGCAAAATTAATTATCATTCCATTGGAACTAAGTCAGCTTGAATATAGATGAATTGACTTTTAGAGCTTAAGCCAAAAGGTTTACAATATAACATTCCATTTAGCAGACAAGTGTTCTTGAACCTGCAAGCATAGATGCCAACACACAAAACATGGTCTGAGATACAAAGGTGGAAATACTCTCCTTTAAGAAAGGCAGGATGGCTAGTGTCTATAAAGATATTAATGTATTAAAGATTAATTAGTAGATGGGTGTAAATGAGTTAAATTTATTACAGACTAAATTTTTAAGGCTTGATACTATATGAAGAGCAATAGAAAACAGTGGAAACAGAGTAGTTTATTTAATAGAAATTTGTCTTCTTTTTCATTGCAGCTGACTACTCTAAAAATTATGCTCTTACTTAATGTGTATTGTCTATTTCTTTGTCTTTGACTAGGCAGCATGGCTACAAAATTATGACCTCAAGAAGGCATTCTTTGAACTTGTCAGAATGTTGTTTCTTTTGGTGACAGTGCCCCCCCATCTCTGAAAACTAAGGCATCTCACATAATCAACTAAATGAATAGTGACAGCTAACATTTTGTATTTAAACTCCTGTCAGTGTTTAAACATAAAAAGCTTGATGCAAAATAAATCAAACACCAGTGATATGCAAGTGAAACATTTTGTTAAAACAGTCTTTGACATACTTGGATTTAAATCTGATCCCTTTTTAGCTTATAAAATGCTACAACTTTAAATGAATATGAAAAATCCAGAGGTTAAAATTGAATCACTAATCTGGATTGTATATAATTGAAGTTACCACTTACATTCATAATCATCTATAAAACCTTCATTAAAGAGAATTATGCATTAAATAAATTGGAAGGATCCTTTCCTACTTTTTGTCTTCCTGAAGTGCTTGCTTAATTGTTTTTAGAAAGAATTTGACTGCTTATTATGTATCTAGTTGATACTACCTACCTAACACACAGATTCAATGCAGTTTTGAAAGAACGTCAGTCGACCACATCATTTATTCCATTTTGAAAACAAAAATCAATATACCTATAAAGTGACCCATAAATTAGAATTGGCTCACACAATGTTTGTTCAGTGCTGCCTTTCTGAAGGCACCCTTTGCATTTTTTCTTCACCTCTCTGTTTGAACTGCAGTCTCGGTAAGAGGCTCATTAGGGGACATTAGGGACTGGAGCTAACCAGAATTCCAGAGCTTGCTTTGCTCTTATTAATGCATAGTAGAGTAGAATGCATTTAAATATTTCATAGGCATTCAGTAATTTGTGTGTAATCGCCTTGTTAGCAGACCAGTAGAAGTAGAACAGGCCTGTGAAATGGTGTTAGTGATTGCATGGGTAATTTACAGACCTTTGCCATCAGAAAAAGTATTATTGTTGGCTAGTATGAAGCTGTGAAATAGAACTACCAATAAGTAAAAAAAGAAACTTAATAAAGGTTTTGTAACAAGCATCTTCAGGGATAACAACCCCACTTGGTCCTTTTGAAGCAGCCGTAATTTATGACATAGGCAATATATCAAATGCATAAGATAGTATTATGGAGCATTCATATGAAAAGGGTATTTGCAACATTAGTTCCAACTTCCTGCAAGGGACATGATTAAATGATTAATGAAATGTCCCTTTGCATATGCATTTTGAAACAGCAATTAGGCACTGACTGAGAAAATCCACCAATCCTCTCATTTTTCAGTATTATCTCATTCTTGATTTATAAATCATAGAGAATTTTTGAACAGTAATATGTAGTACCTGAGATAGTTATAAAAACATAAAAGAGAATAATTTCGGCACAAAATAGTCATAAATTCATAAATTCATAATTTAATGTTAATACTTAGCCTATTTATTTAGTCTTATTACATTGTATTTATATCTGACACTATTTCTGTACTTTGATTGGCATAATTAAGTAGAGGGAATGAATAGGCACTATTCTTTTACATATCACTGGTAAACAATAGCGAGGAAAGGAGAAGGGAGATGTGGCAGAGGTATGTATGTGTTTTTCAAGTTCTCAGTAATCCACTGGAGGCTGTTCTATAAATGATCATTGAAGGGCTGCAAGCTAGCCTATAATTACAGGAAAGAAAGTGGCAGCTCTGGCATTTCATAACTATGTGTCCTCGAAAAGTGCTTTGTGAGTTTGTCACCAATGATAATTTAGATAGAGGCTCATTACTGAACATCACAACACTTTAAAAACCTTTCGCCTTCATACAGGAGAATAAAGGACTATTTTAATGGCAAGGTTCTTTTGTGTTCCACTGAAAAATTCAATCAAGACAAAACCTCATTGACTATTATTGTAGTCTACAGTCTCTATTCTAATAAAAGCTGCATAGATAAATTGAATAGGGCTCTAAGACCCAAGTATATAAAGCAAACATTTTGTACTTTTTTTAGTTCTTTAAATATAAGATCATGATTATCACTAAGCAGTAAACAAGTGTAGAAAATCATTTTAAAAAGTGATTTCACAAGAAAATGTTATAGTGACTATGCCTTTTATTGCAGACCTGTATGTTCTACTTATCTTGCTTCCTGCATTTACACCCTAATCTCAGTGTATAACTGAAGCATTTTTGAAAATATGCAACATTTTTTCTTATATGGAATAAATATGTTTGTGTTCCCCAAGAGTTCATGGTGAAAAAAAAAAAAATCTTACGGAAACACAGCAATATGAAGCCTTAAGAATACAACACACAACTGTATTATGCTGGTAGAAAATTGTCTTACTGTTCATTTAAATTTTGGGGGAAAAAACCCTGGGAAACAATTTTTAAATGTAGTCTTGTTATTTAGGAATTGGTGACACTTTCTGTTAACTAACCTCTGGCTTACTCTCACATTCCATACCTCCTTCCCAGAGAGCATGAGTGAATGTTAATCCTCCTCACAGGTTCACAGCAGAACAAACCTGAGCTGAGCTTAGAGAGCAGACAGGTATAGTGGAAGTGCCTCCCCTGCACTCCAGCCACACTCCTTCAGCTTGACCTTATCCACCTTGCTATTTTAGTCCACAGTTTCTCTTCAACCAAGACTGACATTGTGACAAGATACATGGAGGTTTTGTTGTTATGATCAATAAGGAAGTATTAAAACAAACTGGTTTAATTTATCAAGGTATAGGCAAAACAAAGGTTTCTGATTGTTGAACCTAGGTATATAAACAAATAAACCTTTTGTTTATAATAAAATTAGTTTTTATCAGCAACACGACTTTAATTACTCTTCATATGTTTTACATGTATGTGTCTTATATTTTTTCTGCCTCACTGTGATCTTCAAGAAATAAAAGTAAATAATTTGAATGGATACAAAAATATATTTGTTGAATTCAGTATACCCAGGGCTATTATAAACTTTTTAGACTATTATATCATTCTAAATGATACTTGAGCCCACTTGGGTAAATATATAAATTCTTATTTAATTTTGTGAATTTCTTTTCAATATGCCATTTCACTTATATGCAATGATGAGAACATCTCTGAAATTGTTGCCTTACTTTGCCCATTGGTGAAATAGATACACTAAAGGATATTGAATTACTTGAAGATTACTTTCTTTAATTTTGGGAAGCATCAAAGACATTATGTATTACAAATTACAGAGTATATATTATTAAATGTTTTCATGTTCATTGGAGATGCTGCTTTACTAAATTACTTTTGGTGTATTAACATACCACTCATTAAAGAGATCTCTTTAAACATCGTATAGAAATAATAATGGTAGACTAATGCATATTCAAGGTTAGAGTGAGATCATTTGGAATGATTTATTTTTCACCATTTTAAAAATAAGATTAGGACAAATGTCTCCTAGTTAGAACACTGGACATGAAATGTCAATCTTGTTATTCTAATGATCAAAATCTTCAATGAAGTTCTTTATTACTAACAGCAAATCATCATTCTTCATAAATATTGATTTTCCACGGGAGATAATTTGCCATCTTTACCTAATTCATACCACATCCCAATGAAATAAAACATTGCTCACTAAAATACATCATAGAAACAACAAACTGTTCTAACAATGAAATAGAAAATTGCCTTTGTTCTCTTCAGAATTGCTTTTGGTTCATAGATTTGTAAGCTGTTCTTTTTAAAAAAATGGCATAAATAATATGACTTCTACTATAACTCTGTAAATGGTCTGGGGAAATATTTTTTGTAATAACAGGTAAGCTTAGAGACAGTGACATTTTCTGCCATTTGAAGAGTCTCTTTACATTACATAAATAATTTTCACACAACACGTAAGCAGCTTTAACTTTTATCTGTATGGTTTCAAGGCTTTCTGTTTTCCCAGTGCACAGAAACATCTGACTTCAGTGTAGTGCTTTTTAAGTGTAGCCTATGCCACTAAGATCGACATCACTTTACATTCTGTTTTGTGTCTTCTGTTTGTTTAGGCACCTTAACAATGAACACGCATTGGATGACCGAAGCACTGCTCAGTGTCGAGTGCAAATGCAGGTGGTGCAACAGTTAGAAATACAGGTTTGTTAAATGCTCACTTAATGGACTCTTCTTAGATTTCTGGTGTGTTACATTGAGTACTGAGCAGATTCTGGGTCTTTCAGCCTGCATTTTACTGTCTTAGCCATTCAATACTAATGGAGATACATGATATTTTAGATTGTTTTAAACAGTGGCAATTATTGATAACCCAGGAAGGATTGCTGTAGTTTAATGTACTTATCACTTATATTTTTATAACTTTTAGACCACATCATATGAATTTGAATATCCCAAAGTAGTCAGATCTAAGTTTTTCCCAATGCAGGTTAGACCAAACTCCCAATTAGATATGATTTTATTACAGAGAGAGTTTTTACATGAGCTAACCTTGATTTTTTTCCATGAGATTTTATATTGTGGCAAATGACCAGTCTTTACAATATCATGCCTGTAATATAACTAACACCCTGAAAGATAACCTTTTCTTTTCTTTTTCTAGTGTAATTTTAATTAAAGAACTTGCAAAAAAATCTTTATACTTTTCTTTAGCTAGATTAAAGGCAGATAATTTATATCACAGATGATAATACACACATGTTGTATCAAATGCGACTGTTTTAAGTTAAAAAAAATTCTATTAATGTTGAAACAGAATTTGGCCAGAAGTAAATAGAATCCATAGAACTAATCAGAAAGCAATTATGTCACCCAAAGTCTGACTCTTGTTATGTTTTACTAAGCCTTTAAGGCTTTCTCTAACATTTCATCTTAAAGATGATCTTTTCTCAATGAAACTAATACTTTGTTTCATTTAAAGATACGATTTTTCTTCATATTTTATTACATCTTGTTTCAAATTCGTGTCATTGCTTTTTTCAGAGAGCTTACTAAAAATATTTTGTTTTGACTTGTAAAATAATCAAGAACACAAAAAGCACCATCACTGTTAAAGTTTAAAAAGCTTTTTATAAACCTGTTTACCATTTATAAAAGGTAGACTAAAACATAAGAGTTCAGCTGATGATACAGTCTTCGGTGTGACCAATTACGCCTATTTTTTTTTTTTCCTTCTGCTGTGTCTGACTGATGGAAAAGTAAGGTCCGTCAGTTGTAATGAGACCCAGTGCAAGTGTAGATGCCGACTCCGTGGCAGAGTTCAGCGTTTCACACTGCCTGGTCTCTGTCACTCTATTGAATTAGATTGATGATGGCAGATTGCAGGGGGCACTAACTGGACCTCAGTGGGAATGCATGAAGTGTGTAGACAATCCTGGCAGGCACTTTGCTTTGAGAACCCTTCACCCCTTCACAGCTGTTGGCACTAGTCCATTGCTAACAGTGTCCACAGGACTTTAAAGAGACACCATGGGCCTTCTAATTTATGGTTTCAGTAACTTGTTACTGTCGAGGCAACTGTGACCTCAATTCTCTTATTGACAAAAAGATGAAGTGTTATTTGTTTTCTCTGACCTTTTAACATAAGAAAAGCTATAAAAGTTTTTCCCCCTCCATAGCTAAAGTTGCATTTCCTCCCAGATAAGTTCCTCCTGACGCAGACTTTTACATGCAGGAATCATTATTCTGAGGCAAGCTCAATGATAAGATGTATCACTGCAATAAAATAGCTGTATCAGTCATTTCTAAAACGCTTCTGATCTCACTCTTTCTTAACAGCTTTCTAAAGAACGCGAACGTCTTCAAGCAATGATGACCCACTTGCACATGCGACCCTCAGAGCCCAAACCATCTCCCAAACCTGTAAGTGCATATTGCTTTATAAACAGTAAATAGCTCTACCAATGTAACAGACTAAGAAAATGAACAATTTAGTGACAGTTAGAAAACAATGAGTGTGATGAAAAATACGGCAATAAAATGAAAGTAAAATGTAATCGCTTGTCAAATTGTATGTTTCTTTTAAAGTAATGCTATCTTTTACAAAATCTATCCAATCTACACCATGGGTGACACTAAACAAAGTACACCTATCAGTGCACAAATCACTGCCTTGGGGCTGAAGCCAGAGAGAATTTCTTTCTGTGATAGGTTTACAGATATTAAAAGGAAACCCTCTTTGAGCAACCTGAAAAGTAGTAACGTACAAATCACAAATAGAAATGTATGTGGTGTGCTGAAGAAGGCAGATCAATCATAAGATACATATAAATAGATTTTTATCAAATATTTTGTCATAAAGGTCATGGTATTTTTATAGCCAATTTTGTCCTATTTCTTTGGTTATTTCAGTTAAGATGTATTTCACATATTGATATGTTTTATTGTACATTATACATAATGTTAATTTAGAGAGCTTATCACAAAAAGAAGTGGGTGATTATAGAAAATTAAGACTAGTTTCCCTCAAAAATATATGAGATTTAAGCTCAACCTAATAATGTAGTCAGATACACAGACTGTTGAAAAGAATATACTTTATCTCATTCAGCTGATGTTTGCACAGAAACTTAGAGTAATCAACTGGGTAACTCTAGTTTAATGAAAGTTTGTGGGATACTTTTTAATAAGGCCCCTGTATAGCCTGATGATTAATGATTGCCAGTCTTGCCTCTCCCTCTATTTCTTTAGGTAAAAAACGAACATTTGGCTTTGTAGTTGGGGAGGAGACAGAAGACGACTATATTGTCTAATTTTCTCGTAATGTCTCGATATTTCTTATCAATTAATATCATTCAAAATTTACTTTTTTGGTAGAGATTATATTTAAACTCTGCTAAGCTATTTCTGCTTTTCCTTTGTACTGTATTTAAAGGTAGAGTACTGTAAAAACATTTTTATAGGAAGAAAAAAGACATGTATCTTTTTGAATCTGACATACTACTTTTTAAACTCTAAAATGTCTGAGTTTTTAATTAAAAAATAAACTTTTGAGGATATTTTTGATCATGTATTTATGACTATCTTTTCAATAAGATTTTTTCCCTCATTGCTTCTATAGTATAATGTAGATAATCACAAGACAGAATAATTGTCTCATAAATCCATCAGGAATCTGCAGCTTGTTCTTTTCCAATTAATTATTCAATCAGTAAATTTTTTAAAACTCCAGCAGCATGGTTACATCTACACTAATAAAGAATTTTCAGCCTATAATCCAAAACAGAACCTGAATGAATAATGTAATTGAAGTATTACATTACATAAACCACACATGAAAGAATTGCTAATTGCGTTTGATGGTGGGCAATTAATACAGAATCTTAGATGAGCGATTTAAAATGAAACCACAGTTTAAAGTTCCCTTTGGAACTAGCGATATCTGAAGTGAGGAACTGCACTATTGGCCTCAGATCGGTTTGAAAGAAGAGTGGTCAATACTCACAACCCTCAAAAAAACCCTAAAATTTATACACTGTACAAAAGAAGCTTCAAAATTGATATGATAGTAGAGATTTATGGTCTCATGTGCAGTGGCTCAGTTGAGACGGCCCACACATTTGATAAATATTAATAGCATGAATTTATTACCAAGGAGAAATGAGCTCTGTTGGTTCATCACTGCACCCTTAACAGCTATCAGTACATGAACACAAGGTGCAACCGCACTGTCTATTATATGACCCCATTTACTCTCTGAATGGTACTTCATTAAATGGTACCTTTTGGCCATGCTATGGATGGATGAAAATCAAAGTTATCAAGGCTGCGAGTCCTGAATAATGAGTTTCACCCAACCTTGACTATATTCAGATGAGTCGAGGTGGCTAAGTGCTCATCCTAGCTTTTACATGCTTCCCTTTAGTTAATAATAAATTCTATTTTATCAGTTTGTGATTGTACGCCTACAAACATGGTATGCTTATTATTACAGGATAGCAGAATAAGTTACCGTAACATTGTAAACATGAGTGGTTTGCATTGAAAAAGATGTATTTCTCCTGTTTTGATAACTTTTAATGTGTTGGTAAAATGTACAGAGTCCTGTCACATATTCATCAGGATAGATATTTCATTGATTTGCAATTTGGTATTTTCTGGGTTCTGAATGTGCCATTTTGTTCTGGTTTGCAATTCTAAAAGTGAATATGTAACCATCCAGCTGAGTTTTTTTTTTTTATGTATGGGGAAATACTTTTCTTTTCTTTTCATATTTTTAACATACAAGTATGTAATGCTGATATTTTCTAAATATAACATTGTTATGTATATGTTCTGATGTTGATATTTTAGAATATTTGCAAAGTCACATACAGATGCATATGGATGTTTCTGCGTTTCTCAAACTATGCAGAGGTGCTCTTGTACATCCCAGAGAAGCTTACACCAGTGGCTTTGTAAATGTATTAAATGCAGCATTTAGGAGCATTATCTCAGCTTTCATTTATGTACGTAACAAAGAATTCCCTACCCAGTCTGCTGGCTTAGAGTATGAACAGAATAACAGTTTGTGGTTTATTGGGAACAGATGCACTTGGGGATGCCTTCAGGGTGCCAGTCGTTATTATTAGACTGCTAATGTGCTTCTTCTGGCTGCTGCCCAAGAAAGAAGAACAATTAGCTGGCATATGTTAATTTTTGTTTCCCTAACAAATCTCTCTACTGACTAAATGTGTAAAACAAATCCACAAAGAAAGATCAATCAATGCTGTACACATCATTTTCTCCCCATTAAAAAAAGGTTTATCTTAAGAAGTGTATTTGGGATTTAAAAAGACAGGTGTTACTAAATTATAAACAAAAGCTGAATATTCTCTATTTAGCCACTCAGCAGTTACTTTATAGAGAAACAGAACAATTAGAATTAGTTTTCTTGCTTGGTTGTATAGCCTACTGTATAAAGTAAAAAGGACCACAGATTACCTCTTGTGAATACCATTTAAATGTATGGCAGAAATCTTTTTATGTGCTGCCCTGCGTAAAAATTTTGCTAATTGGATGCTATTTATGACAAAAGATGTGTGGTAAATATGACAGAGGTGATATGAGTTTTTTGATAATGAAGAACAGGGCCTTTCTGAGGGGAGTAATGAAGGGCACACTGTTAAACAGCTTGCATACATTCTCACCTTTTTTCTTTTTTCTACCCTGACACCCACTTTCCAGGGTACATCAGCATTAAGTGACACTGTAATCATAAATTGAAAATGATACTTCCAGAGGAATTGGCAAACTTGACATTTCATTATATTTGTTAACACATGCCACAAATGATTGTTAGTGAGGAAATTCCATTTCCCTCTCTCCATCTCCAATCAGATTTAATTTGAAAATTTTCAGCCTCCTCCGGCTAATTTGCAATTAAGACAATTTTGTTTGAATATGTAGTAATGTCATTACCATTCCACCAAATTAGCAAGGAGACTAAAGGTCAGTGTAAAATTTTCCAGCTGGCTGGAGCCTCTCAGCTGAGATTTGGGACTACGAAAAAAAAAATTCTGGCATCAACAGAATAGCAACTTACTTTAAATCCTATTGGTTAAAAACATTGCATCCTTCATTATTGCTGTTGTTGTTGCTTCACTGGGGGCTAGACCTGTTTAACAACAGGGGCAGTCGATAATCAGCAACTGGCTTTTATTTAAGGAAATAGACTTTCGCTGAAGTCTGGTAGGACAAGAAGGAGTTAGTCCTAAGTAACATTGCAGTAGATTATTAGATAACCTCTAACAGAATCCTCTAATTAGAGTTCTTATGATACAATTTCATCCTGTAATTAGTTGAGATTGGCTGCTTCCTTTTGCAGCTTATTAGTGGCAACACAGCTGTAGAAGTGAATCCACTCTCATTTGTCAAACCTTTTTAAGTCTTTTTCTCTTGTCTCTACCTTTTTCCTGCCCTTCTCTTGGGCCTTTGCAGCTAAATCTGGTGTCTAGTGTCACCATGTCGAAGAATATGTTGGAGACATCCCCACAGAGCTTACCTCAAACCCCTACCACACCAACGGCCCCAGTCACCCCGATTACCCAGGGACCCTCAGTAATCACCCCAGCCAGTGTGCCCAATGTGGGAGCCATACGAAGGCGACATTCAGACAAATACAACATTCCCATGTCATCAGGTAGGATATGAATGCTCAGTAGAGCACTTTTACTTTGGGAGAGGAAAACTGTAGCTGAATCAACTGTACATGAGCCATTCCAGAGCACATGGAAACTCATGTCATGATTTATGGAGTGATAATTGTTTTATTCCTGGTAAATGCGAATAGGGGCGATTCCCTAAGCACATCATGATGAATTGTTCTGAATGGTTGTTCAGGAAAGAAAGCTCTCCCCATTAGAGACACTGAGAGATGTCAGGATAGCCCATATTATCACCTCAATTCAATGAGATCCTTTGATCTCTGAGGGAAGACTAGCAATCCAACATCTGTGAGTAATGCTGTAGAGAAGAGCCATTTTAAAGGACATATACGAAACACCGTTGCTTTATGCAAGACAGTTCGAGGTTTACATGAATCAGTCTTTATCAAGGTGCTACCTAAATGAAATCCTGTCACAGCTCCTAATGCCGATATGGCACTTTGCTTAAGAAGCATTGTGAGAGGCAAACTTTGCATTTGCATGGAACACAAATTTACCTTCTTTCCCTCTCTTACCCTTCTCCCTTCTCCCTTCTCCCCCACCTGCCATCCCTGGGGCATCTGGATAATCACAGTCACACATTGTAACCATTATTAGCCCAGAGCCCCCTCTTTACAAAAAGTGAAGTTATTTTCAACATGGGTGCTTGGTGAGGGTTTTGTGTTTCCTTTGTTAGATGGCCACAGATGCAGAGGTGAGCCTGTTGTACTTTAAGACGTATTAGATGAGAGAAGCAAAGATTATAGCAGGGGGGCAAAAGTCCATGTAAGAATATGCCTAAACTACCCACTTTAAAGAAGACCTGGCTATTGGAAAAAAATCCTCAGGCCAGCAGGTCGCACAGTTCCTGAAGTACCACGAACAACTAGGGGATGCTTCATTTGCACTTCGCGTCAGAAATGGCCTTTTCCATATAATTCAATTCCACTGTCATGCTTTGTGCTTTCACTAGTCGGTGGCTTCCTCACTGAATCACTTTACCAATACTAGAGGAAATATGAAAATTCAATTATATATAATGTGAATTATTAGCAGAATTAACACCTAGTTTTTATTTTTATAGAAATTGCCCCAAACTATGAATTTTATAAAAATGCAGATGTCAGACCTCCATTTACTTATGCAACTCTCATAAGGCAGGTAAGTAGAAGGAAAATTAACTTTGCCTGATTAAATTAAAATTCATTAATGCTTAAAGTAAGGCTTGGATGAGAAAGTGTCATCTAGTCTAGTTAGTAAACCATTATTTTATGTCACTATGTATCTTGTCTCATTTCAGGCTATCATGGAGTCATCTGACAGGCAGTTAACACTTAATGAAATTTACAGCTGGTTTACACGGACATTTGCTTACTTCAGGCGTAATGCAGCAACTTGGAAGGTAACTACTTTTCCAGCAGTTTTAAGATGCCTACCACAGTTCCTTACAGATAGCACAAGGAACATTTATTTACATGACATAAGCAGATTAGTATCTGCTTCCCCTCTTTTTAACCTGCCTCTTGAATGGAATGAATTCCCTCTCTCAAAATGACAAGTGAAAGAATAATTTTGCCTCTGATATAGTTTTCTAATTTGGTGCAATTAATAGCTGAGGCTTGGCAGAGAAACGAGGGCCTGACACACTAATTACAGTGTGAGCACTCAATCATCAACACCTTTGTTAGTCGCACGATATTACTTTTTCTCTTGCATATTATTGGCTAATTAGTTTGAAAAATGTCTGTTTGGCTTGTGCAACAAATGGAGGCTGTAGGTTTTGTCTTGGTCTGCGCCTTTTGTACACATCATACCTCATCATACAGACTGAAGCTGCCACGGGAGTGAGGGCCATGGCTACTCAGCTGGAACTAAAAGAAAGTAAAGTGAATATTATCCTGTCAGAACATAAATGCAGTTTATTTACTTAGACAAAAGGGTTCATCTATATCCCTGTCCAAACAACTTCATTGTCTGAATCTTACAAGGAGCTAAAAAAAATGTTAGTTCTATGCATCTATTTTTGGAAAAGAGCAACGTCTGGAAAGATAAGGGCACTCAGCACAGACTAAGTGAACTGTTTTATTTTCATTTCAAAAAGCAGTCAGAAACATCAATTAGCCACAAGCCATTTGGTACAAAAGGGGAAAATGTTTGTAGCTGAGAAGAATAGAAGCAGCAAAGCACTCATCAGCATACTGAGAATTTTAGACTGTGAGATATGCTAAAGTGAATTAATTTGGATTTAAAATGCAAATTAATCTGGCAAGCGATTACAGATATATGGGTGTGAGACTCAGAATGCTTTTAATTTACAAAATGTTTAGATGTTATTAGTTGCTACAGTATGTGGTACTGTAAATGAATGTAATTGTTTTATTTATGCACAGTTACTTGGTATATATTTTATATGATGAAAATGTCAGCAATAATCTGTGCAATATATGTTTTGGAGGGTTTTCAGTAAGTAATATTTATGTTGAAGATTTACATTTTCTTTTGTTACTCATTAGATAATGTAGTGAATGTTCTGTCATTTGATTTACTGAAAGAAATTTTAAAAGAAATGAAAGATGATTTAATATCTTAGCTTGGTCTCATCTCCACAGCTCGGGGATCCAGCAAAACTCATTCTGAACAGCTTATTAGTTCTAACTATATCGCATGCATAATAAAACTGCTCATTTGCTCATTAATATTAAAATTATCATATTCAGAGCCATGGGCATTAAGATCAATCAAATCCTTGGATTTCAGGTCAGATGCTAGATCTGCTTATGCTTTTTTTTTTTTTTTAAGAATTCTTCTCTTAAAGCAAGCTAGAAGCAGCTTGTCTTTGTGCAAATAGAAAGAAATCTTCATCAAAATTACTTTGTTTTATATTCGTAATATAAGAATTAGGTCATTTCTGAGTACTTGATAGCTATATGCCAATGTACCTTGACAGGAAGAAATATTTGCTTAGGTTTATAATTTGAATTATGGAAAATACTCGATGTAAATTATGTGGTCTACTGTATATTTATTATAGCTAAAATTTTAGGAATGACTTAATTTGATTTAAAAATGTTAATTTTGAGTAATTACTCTAATACAAAGCTGCCAACAACATCTGTTTGCATAATCATTATGGGAAGAAAATGTACTCTCGGGTTCCAGCAACGACTTTCAGTTGAGTTTAACATTTACAAAAACTTTATTGGGAATTTAAAAAAAATCTAAGTGTGTCTTATTGTGCAGGCAGAACGTTACACTGTAACTTGCATATGTCATCTAATAATACAGAATAAACAAACTCTGTCATTTCATTATTATAGGGATGAAAAGAATGCCTTTGAGCTTATTTGCATAAAGCTTTGTGCAAAATTAACACTTGTCACTGTAGCCTTTTTAGCATTTTAATACCTCAAGCAGGACTGGTTCCTTTGGACATTTCAACCATCCCTGAGTGCTTGATCAGGGACACAACAGAGCTGACCTAATTGTTCTGGCATTTTCAAAGATACTGTAATTTGTACAGATATTGCAATTTAGACCAGTTCAATGAAAGGAAGGTTTTGACACAGCTATTATTAAAATAGCTTGGAAGGTTCTCTTATCACAAAGTTCAAACTGCAGATTCCAGTAATTTGTAAGTTTGAGGTTTGTAATATCATGCCATATTTTGATTTTAATACTTAAACATGTTAAGATTTTTCACTCTGATTAAGTAAGATCAATAATGTAGTATGTTGGGCTGCCTTATTAGACAATATTATTTTTGCCATTTTTTCTTCTCTTCTGTCTGCTTTAGAATGCAGTACGTCATAATCTTAGCCTGCACAAGTGTTTTGTTCGAGTAGAAAATGTTAAAGGAGCAGTATGGACTGTGGATGAAGTAGAATACCAGAAGCGAAGGTCACAAAAGATAACAGGGTATGTTTGTGATAGTTTTGTAATCCTGTATCCTGCATCCACCAGGAAAAGTAAATACTTTAAGTTGGGGCTGGGGTGGGGAGACAGTTAGCTTAATGGCATGCTAACATTCTCGTGGCAATGAACTGCATTTTGAATCTAGGTGTAGGTGGCATAAATCAACAGTAGCCTATCAATTTTTTCCGTAAAAATCATCACAGGACTGTTTTGGTTACTATTTTCATCAATTCAGCATTTCTACGTGTATCAAAAAATTGTTTTTCAAGATGGAACATGCTTTCTAGAGAGAGAGAGACACTTCCTGTTTTTATACAATACAGTAGCTTCCAGTAGAAGCTAAAAGGCTTTTTAAAAATGAGGCTAATTTTGCATATACTGGTAATCCTGAAAGTACCTTTTTATGAAGAATTTATGAGAAGACTTTATAAAAAAATAAGGCTATTTCTTTCTCAAATACTCTCATTTTCCAAGACAAACTTTATCATTTGGACCTACCTTGCTTTTACTCCAACTGTGATGGTTTTCTGTACAGTGCTGTTGAGATGACCAAGGTATACTAGTGTGAGAAAATTACTGGCTGGGAAGTTTGAATTTTGTTTGTTTTATAGAGAACAAGACTGCCAAACTTAAGTCCAAAATATAGTAAAACACATTTTGTGCTTAATTAACTCCATGTAGAATTTACTTATTCCCCCAAACTTCTACTGCCTAATATGAAGAGATGACTTTAATGTATTTTATCTACTATTGGCCCTTGACTTTTGATTTCTATAGTCAAGTATGTGCTAATATCTGCATTCAAGAAATAGTTAATCTATTATGTTGTCATTTAATTAACTATGGTAATTTGTTATGTTAATTCATGGTGTTCTAGAAATTAACCATTAATTATTTCCTGATTGCATCAAATTGGTAATTGTATTGTATATTTACATTTTAAAAATTTTGTATGAATGTTGCTGTTCTTGCAAATGAAACCTTCACACAACTAGAAACAGGTTTAAGGATCCTCAAGGTCATGTCTCACTTTGCCTGCACACCATAGTCTAAAGTTTCATTTCTTATATTCCTGGATCAAGTTAATATGTATTATGTAAAGGGTTATATATTTGAACTCTATTACCTTATTTTTGTGGCCTTATATACATCCAGTATGGACTATTAGTGTGAGACAAGCCAGAACATACCTTTATAGCTGAGACTATTGATATCCACGTTTTATATTTTGACGTATAAATGATCTTTATATATTTTTTTTTTCAGAAGTCCAACCTTAGTAAAAAATATACCTACCAGTTTAGGCTATGGAGCAGCTCTTAATGCCAGTTTGCAGGTAATGTACTTTCCCAGTTTTGTTGTATTTGAATGTTTAGGGCTTTTTTTTTTTTTTTGGCATGTCTTTGTATTTAGGTGAGATTGTGATTGTTCTTAATAGTTGGTTTATCATCCAAGTTGTAGTACCTAGTACTATAGACAGCACTGGTTCTAATTCAAGCTACTTTTGATGTGAAGAAGCAAGAAGGACACCCTGTGGCAAAATCTGGAACATTCGGTTTTTCTGCAAATGCTAGATTGATAGAAGCTTTTGCAAGTGCATGTGGCTATGCATTAATATTTATCCAGGCTGTCATAAATGATTTCACATCATAGTGTTGGGGAACATGGTGCTTGTGGCAAAAACTTTAAAGTTTAATTATAATATATAATTTTTATGCAGAGGAGGCAAATGTCAGGACTTCTTTATTTTGAGTTAAGTTCTGGTCATTTTTAAAAAGCAGAGCAACTGCTTATATTAAACTGGAGTATTTCATTACATGTGTGGATTCAACATTTCATTATGCCAAAGGTTGAAACATGAGTGAGAAAGTTTGCTGCAAGGACGATTGTTTATATTTTCACATCGCACTTAATTTCCTTGCATCTCTGCCACAAGTAGCCAGTTAGGAATTTTTTTTCAATACATTTTCTTTTAATCCTTCTAAAATATCTATTTCCTTATTGGAACCCATTAAAAGAAGATACATGTTTTAAAAATTATTTTAAATGCCATTTTGAAAGTTGTTTTACACAATCTTCATTTCACTAGGCTGCCTTGGCAGAGAGCAGTTTACCTTTGCTAAGTAATCCTGGACTGATAAATAATGCATCCAGTGGCCTACTGCAGGCCGTCCACGAAGACCTCAATGGTTCTCTGGATCACATTGACAGCAATGGAAACAGTAGTCCGGGCTGCTCACCTCAGCCGCACATGTAAGTGTGGTTAACAGACTCTCTAAAGGGAAGAATCTATATTAATATGCTTCTTAAATTTAGAATTTTTCCGAAGTTTTTACTGTTGTATAAGTTGAAAATACAAATTTAAGTGGAGTTAAATTATACCACGTTCATAATATGACAAAGTTTATCAAAATCGGTTTTAATACATTTTTTAGATGATCTCAAATGCCATATCATTATTGTTCCAGCAGTCCTCTACAGATTCTTAGTACTACTAATGTTCTCTTGGGCATAAAGCAGTGTCTAAGATGAATCTACATCTTATGGGTCATTATCACAGGTTGGTTTGTATGGTGCAATAAGAATATTCATGATGGAATAAGTTGTTATAATTTTTACTACTGTTACAGGTCTCTAAACCATTTATGAACTGTAGTCAAGATATTGCCCGTTTTTATAAACCGTAAAATGCAAAGTTTAACTGTTACCCACAGTTTACATAGAAGCTAGTAAAGTGTAACTTTTTGCCTGTCTTATAAATCAGTGTAATTATATATTCAACTTTAATTACTGGTGCGTCTGTATTGGCAAGGTTTATAAGTTATATTTTATGCAAGACTACGATTCCTATTAATATTTAGCAGCTAACTATATCATTAATTACTCTAAAATCTTTCCCCTACCATCTTTTTAATGGAGCTGAGAGAGTAGAAGTATTAAAAATTGATGTATTGTGGATTTCAGAAATGTGTATGACACTTTAAAAAATGCCTGGCTTTTTTCAATAGTGTCAAGCATATTAGTGTCTTGTTTACTAAAATGTATTGACCGTGGTAGAACTCAGAATTCAGAGGAAAAAAATTTGAATCTGAATAATGAAGTGTGTACACCATTTAGCTGTCAGGATGAGTTGTAACTCATGTCTATACTTCCTAGAATTAAACGTCACATACTTCTAATTACAAGTTATTGAGGTAAGATTAGTCCTTTCTCTTATTTTTATATTGTCTTCCTTTATTTTTCCATTCAATATCTAGTAAAAGGTCTGAAAGAGAAATATACTCTTTATATGTACCCATTTTCACTTGACCTTTCACAGGGTATTATTTTTGTTGTCTTTTTAAACATTTTATTCTGTTTGACATATTAATGTCTTTAAGAGCATATGTCTAATTGCTTTATAGCACTTTTACTCTATCACCTTTGCAAAAAAACACACTGTGAACATTAATGTGTTTTATCAGGTTCCGAACCATTACTTCTTCAAAATGGAAAAATTTGTCTTTTGGAAGTGTCTTTAGATGTATTAAATAATACAAAAGAAGTAATAAAACTCAAAGTAGAAAGAACATGAATATATGCTCTTGAGAGTAGCAGTATTCTAAAACAAGGAAAGTGAGCAATCAGACAAAAGTTTTTATATCCCCGCTTTATCCTATCAGCCATGCAGTGGGTAGCTTGCGGCCTTTTACTTTCAGCAGTTCTCCTGAGTATGCTAAATAGTTTATTAAACATTATATTTCAGAACCTGAAATAATAATTGGGCTAAATTGTAGCATTGTTAGATGGGTATTGGTTTTCGTTTGGCAATTGCTACTTCAGATTTTTCATTTTATTATTAAAGTTTATGAAATATTTCAGAGAAATATTAGTATGTATTAGATAACACCTAAAAATTATACATATAATGTCCAGTATATTGCTGCTATGGGTTTATAAAGTTAAAATGTTCATAGTTAATATATAACACATTTTATGCTTATATGAATTAGTGCATTTGAAAAATACTTATGTTTATTTTCCATAGATAAAAGGAAAGCTTGTTGAAAATAGATTTCAGAAAAAATAAAAATTAAAAGGGGTGTAAATTGTCCCTTTTTCTAAGTTACATCAATTATAATCAAAATTTTAATTATCTTGCAGAATATTGAGTCAATATTCATTCTTAAATCTGTTTCTGCTGCTGTCATTAGGTTTTTGCATAATAGATGTCAAATATTTATGAAATATTTCAGTATTCTCTATCTTCACCTTTATAAAGTTCTAAGATGCTTGTACTTAAACCATGTTATGTATTTTATTAGGCAAAGGAAGAAATATTGATATAATTCTCTCAGTCAAAATTTGGTTGTATATAATTGAGTGCATTTCAAAATACTTTGGAAATTAAACAGAAGTGAAATAATTTTTATAAGACATTTACACAGCATACTTATATCTCCTAAAATGAAGTCATGTTACTTGTTGTTTTAGAGGGGGGTAGTTGTGCTGATGCAATTGTAAACAAGAGGAAATAGGGCCTAGTGGTATCAGAACATAGGTTGTAATGCCAGACTGTCAGGGTTCCAATTCCAGATTCAATAGTTAATAGCCAAGTGGGATTGAGCACGTTACTTAATATTTCTTTCCTCAGCTTTCTCAGCTGAAAATGAGGTAAGTAATAATATAATGCTTCTTATTTCATAAGATTCTTGCAAAGAAATGAGTGCCTGGAACATAATAATTGCTCCTTGTGTCTCTCATAGTGCTGTGTAAATAGGTACTGATTTATATTACTTCCTGTAATACCTCACTGTTACTAAAAATGAGTCTATAAACAATATGAAAATATTTTTGTATTTTGCATTTTAAGGCACTCTGTAAGTTTGTGGTTAGTCATTGACAATCCATTTTCTTCTCCTTCTTTCTTCTCTTATAATTCATAAAGTAAGCAGATCCATAAAACTGAAACAACATGAGGCCAGGCATGGTGGCTTATGCCAGTAATCCCAGCATTTTGGGAGGGGAGGGCAGGAGGATTGCTTGAGGCCAGGAGTTCAAGACCAGCCTGGACAACATAGTGAGACCCTGTATCTACAAAAATAATTTTAAAAATTAGTTGGGTGTGGTGTGTGCCTGTATACAGTCCTAGCTACTCAGGAGGCTCAGGCAGGAGGAAAGCTTGAGCCTAGGGATTTCGAGGTTACAGTAAGCTATGATCATGGCATGGAACTCCAGCCTGCACCACAGAGTGAGACTCTATCTGTCTCTAAAAATAAAAAGTGAAACAATATGACACAAGGACTTATTA
Source organism: Homo sapiens (assembly GCF_000001405.40). Lineage (NCBI taxonomy): Eukaryota > Metazoa > Chordata > Mammalia > Primates > Hominidae > Homo > Homo sapiens. The sequence continues at coordinate 114,667,474 of NC_000007.14, forward strand.
TAGGTAGCACATTACCTATATTTAGGTATCTGAAGTTACCTAGTTATCTGAAGTTTTAGGCAATGAACAACTCAAATAGAACAACACCAACCCAGAATCAGGGACATATCATATATGTCTTGAAAACATTGAGTATTAGTTTTGAAAGGAATTTAGAATACATAAGGGAATACAGAATTTAGAATATAGGAAGTGGGACCAGACTGCTGAGTGACTTAAATATCAAGCTATGGTGTTTGTTTCAGTCAGTATACAGCTTGTTACTGTTATCAGCTTGACTTTGACACGATCAGAGCTATGCATTAGAAACAGTAATCTAAAAGTGTACTGAATGAACCATGACTTAATGAAACTCATGTATAGGAGAATATTCTGAAATTGGGAGAGACTGGAAGCAGAAAATTAATTCTTGCAGTATGTAATATCTAACATAAATACAAGACTAGGAGTGGAGAGCAAAGAATCCGTATAAGAAGTGCTGTGAAAAGAAATACTGGAACAAGACAACCAACTGAATGCTAGGGACAAAGATGAAAATTGGGAAAATTCATAGCCACTTTAAAAGTCTGCAAAGAGAAATAGAGGACACAAGAAGCAGGTTCAAAAGGGAAGATGAAGAATTCAGCATTTTACTTGGGGAATCTAAGAACCTAAATATCATTAGATTCAGGAGAAAACACTGATGATTTTTTTGATTAGTCTTTTAATTCAACTCCATTATAGTAAAATTCTACGTGGTAGAATATGAATATATACCTGAGGTTGATAGAGAAGATGTTTTTTGAAGCATTAGAAGAGTGAAATAGATATGGTCTGGTGCTTCTTATAAATTGTGGAGAACAAGAGATGCCAAATTATCATTTATATTCCATACTCCATATTTTAACCCTTTTCTTCCACTCCAGTTTTCGCTTTATTCAGTGTCCTGAATAAAGGCCTCTTCCAAATTAATGCATTTATTTCGCTCACACTATTTGAATTTCTGCCCTTTCCCTTTTCTGGTTCCCCTCTACTCTCTTACCTAAATTCTACCTTTCCTTACAGGACTAGTCCTATTTTTTTCCAAGAGGGTTTCCCAAGGAATTTTACTATCAGGACCATGCACTCTGCTCCACACTTCTAAAGAGCTTGCTTCTTATACCACTATTTTGGACTAATACTTTGTGTACATGTGTGAGTGTGTGTGCACACACACATGCACGTGTGTTTATGCATACATCTGTGTTCATTTTGCAGATATCCCTACCTTAATGACAAGTCCCTTAAAGACAGATTATGTTTTAGACAAATTATAGTATAAGAAACCCCTAGCACATTCTACTATGTCAAGTAAGCATTCAGTAAAAGTATGATACTGATTATGAAGAATCAAATTGGAGATTACAGTTAATTAGAAATGGTTTGACTTCACAAAGTCATACTTACAGGAGTATAAAATCCAGGGTTCTCCTAGAATCTTGAAGAAGGAGAACAAAAGAGATTTTAGGAAGAACAGATGAGTAAATATAATGTTCATTTTTATGTGGGAGCTAGGAAAATTTTCTAAATATTGGTAGACTATACTTTTTAAGTTTTATTTTTAGTTTTAATTATTTAATTAATATGTATTTTATAACCATTCCAATTTACGTGAGTAAAAAGTGGCTTTCCACTTTGAGTAGAATGAGGCCCCTTCACCTCATTCATGATTATCATCTCAACCTTGTTAAATTTTATTTACATTGTTGAAAGATTGAAAACAATTATCAAAATTTAGGCAATATAAATCAGATGAATGTTTAAGGGGATTTCAGCAAAAAGTAGGAAAGGTTAAAGCCAGGCGACATTGTATAGATTCTACATAATAATTTTTTGAAACTTCTTTGACTGTTTTGACTCAACTACTTATTGATTCAAAGCAAGTACTTCACTTTTAAAACATTTTTATTTTCTATTGCTGTTCAAAGAGTCCTAGAAACATCCATGGTATGAATAAAGGAAAACGATACTTTAAGTGTCCGAGCTGAGTATCATTACAATTTATAATATTGTTCCCTTATGCACCTGAATGCCAATATTCCCTTTTTCAGAGTTATATAGAATATGAATTAAAAATGACTAGCTTCCTATTTTATATAGACATTTACCTCTAGAAATGTTTAAAAGGTTAGGATTGATGCTGTCTTTAAGCAGAAATAATTTGAACTTACTGTCTTCTCTCATGTGTTGGACTTAAGTGAATGACAAGAGAAGAAAACATGTAGACTAGACTTGGAAGATGAACGCATACTGATACAATCAATCCATTTCCTGTCTACTTCCCAACCTAAGGCAAGAAGTGGAATTTAATGATGTACCCACCATGTTTAGTTCTACTCAGTTGTTTCTTTTTGTATTAAGTAATTGTTTCTCCTCATTCTCAATAAGTTGGTTCAGATTTGCTGTTCTTCCTCGTATAAAATGTTAAATGAGATTCCCATTTTTATATTTTCAAATGTTGTGTCTAGAGATCAAAATAAATATTCTTCCCTAGCTGGTTTTGTATGGAGTGCTTTACTCACAAAGCCTCCCATTGTCATGTCATTCCCCTTTCTGATTATTAGAGTCTCCTACTGTTGAGTTTTCAGATCCTTTCTTATATGTCATTCGTGACTCCTCTTAGCCTCTATGTCATTTCAAAGTTTTGCTTGCTAAATATTCTATATTCGTTGTAGGTGATTATTATTTTCTCCTGTTAGTAAAGCAATTATCTGAAGCTTGAAAGTTAAAAATCTTTTATATAGAACGTTAATATATTGGATATAATATAAGAAAATTAATTTATTGTGTCCTTAGAAGGCAAACCCTTAGGAGAAGAAAATAAAAGGCTGAGGTGTCATATAAAATGAGTAATGTAGTATTATTTCAGAATTGCAATAGAGATCATAAGATTTTTTTAAAATTTGCATGTCAAATACCTATTCAACATGCTCCAGAACTTTGTATACATCACATACCCCAGTCATCTTTACGACATCCTCTTCTTCTTCATAACCTCAGTTGTTAAATCATTTCAATATTATACTTTGGCCTCTCCTGTTGATAATATTTTGCCCCATAGATAGCTAAAAGGTGCTCCTAGACCCCCACTGGATTAAACAGTATTGAAAATCTAAACTTTGAATTGTCATAAAACATAATGAAAACATAAGTATATAATATTACATTTCTTCCTTCTATTCTCTTTGGCTGCCTTAAAATTTAAATTGCTATTTGTAGGCACATGTAGAATTTGCAGGCCCTACATCTTTGGTTGCTGATATTTTATATAAAATCCCTGCAGATCTTAGATCTCTCTGTGGACAAAAGCATTTGAAATTGGAGTGGCTCTGTATTTCAGAGGAAAGCAGTTGGAAGTGACTGACAACTTGAGCAAATGGAATGCTCTTTCTCATTGTTTTCATTCCTGTTAAGCCTGTACTATTTTTGCTGATGTTTTGGATCATTATGTTGCATTGCAAAACTCTAAACATGAAAGCTTTTTTTTTGCCTCACATATGTTTTCATAGATTTTTTAATTAACAATTTTTCAGTCAACTTTATTTTTTTCTAACATTTCTGGTCCTCTTACAATTTTTCTTCTGATTTAATTCCATTTTTATTTAATCTCTAAACTTTTTGATTAACTTTGCTAGTTAGCTTTGAGATCTCTTTCCAAAGTGATTGTACGGAACTTATGATTATGCCAGCTCTTTATCATCTCATCTTTTTTTTTAAGTGCTACAAGTGTGGATCAGTAGCTGCTGTTCTTTTTTACATTATTCCAGTCCCCATATGTGGCACTTACAACTCATTCCAGTTCCTCTTAATAAAAAGATCCTCCCAGAGATACAGTGCCTTTAGCTAAAAAGTGTTATATCCCCACCGTGCCAATTGTGGAAATTTGTGGGTTCCTATAGGGTTTTGAAGGATTTTTATAGAACTATACAGATGATATCTGACATCCGTGGTGTGAATTCCCACAATTTAGGCAAAGTGTGTCAGAAAACTTTTAGCTGACAGTATTGTAGCTTACTGCTTCTGTTTTATATCTAAAGAAGGTACTTTGTTAGAACATACAACTTCATTTGCACTAACACTAGTTGAGCCTTAAAAATTTCCTTTCTCTAACGGTCAAAAAATGATTACTGAATTGTTAAAGAAGGAATAATGCTTCAGTGTTAACTTTTTCCTACTTTCAGTACCAGGGAAAAAAAAATGAAGATCTTATGTACTGCTATGGTATTTTAATTTCAGCTTTCAACATAGGACTTGGGAAGTGGATATATGTTGGTGACCAGAGGCATTTAATAAATAAAGAGACTTACATAAAGTCAACTGTTATTTCAGAATATTCCTTTATGTGAAGGTAATTTACATGATAAGAAATTATGTCTTAATGTATGTTAAAATTATGTGCATTTTGACTGCTCTGGCAGAATTTAACATTTACCACTCACAGAAGTAACATGTTATACTTGAATATTTCAACACCAAGAAACACAGGGTTACTACATTCCATAGCCAGTTTCTATCATTAGAATAGCATTAAATAATTTATATAAGCAACAGATGATCAAATCATTTCACATAACTACTGAAAACTAACATTGTTTAGTTTGTTCAACATTATCTTCGTTTTGAAGACAAAATGGAGTAAAATCAGCAAGACACTTAAAAGGTAGGAGGATAAGTCACCATTGATCACACAATGTTATCTTACTATAAAAAAATGTATATTTGCAACATTAAATCTGAGGTTCCTTTTGTTAATTAGCAAGTCAAAGAAAGGACATGGTGCACTAGATTTAGAATAAAAAGTACATATTGTTGGCCGGGTGCAATGGCTCATGCCTGTAATCCCAGCACTTTGGGAGGCCGAGGTGGGCAGATCACCTGAGGTCAGGAGTTCAAGACCAGCCTGGCCAATGTGGCAAAACCCCGTCTCTACTAAAAATACAAAAATTAGCTGGGCACGGTGGTGGGGGCCTGTAATCCCAGCTACTTGGGAGGCTGAGGCAGGAGAATCGCTTGAACCCAGGTGGCAGAAGTTGCAGTGAGCTGAGATCATGCCGCTGTGCTCCAGCCAATGTGACAGAGAGAGACTCCATCTCAAAAAAAAAAATACCTATTACTTTTACTCCTTATTCATCTAATGTTTAGAACTAATAGAGTATATAACTAAGCAAAACTCAACTCAGGAGAAAGCCAGAGTTTGAGTCAGTTCTGTGGTTTAATTTGAGCAAAGGAATAGTGTCAGCAAAGCAGTCAGTCTCAGAAATTAGGCAGACCTAGTGACATGAGCAATATGTAGTCCAGGTGGAAAGTAGCCTCTGTAAAGGTATTCCAAGAGACAGCTTCACCAGGAGCCAGCAGCGGATGGGTAACAACTCCAATAGGGCAGTTTGGTAATAGGAAATAGATAACAGTTGAGAAAAATGGGTAAGCCACATCCAAAAGAGCGGCCACAGCAGTAGGGCTCAACTACAGGACTTTGAGGTCAAGATCTTCAAGGAGCCAGAATGCAAGTTATTAAATGTAATTACAGATAAACTGGAACATACACCCCGTATACTCATATTACCTATCTGATTTTTGACCGAAACTTGGTCCAACAAACAAGGCAATAATACAATTTTTGGATTAATGATTCAAAGGAGAATTGGAGCAGCAACAAGACTGACTTAAAGGCAAAGTGTCAAGATGTGATTTAGACTTGATTTGTCTGGCCAACAGATTAGAACTATAAGGGTCCTTAGATCCACAGCTGAATGTTTATTGATAGTTTTCATTTATGAGACACAAATTGGAATGGTACCAATTGTATCTCAGTGGCCAACTAATTTGTGTCTGAGATTGGGCACAATATATTTGTACTTATCAATGATGAAAGTAATTACATCTGTATTTTCATTTTATTACAGCTGTTTTGGTCACAACTATCACTTTTATAAAGTCAAATAGAGTGATAAATCCTGAAGAATTACATTGTGTTTTTTAAAAATTGACTCTACAGCAAAACTATCTGAAATCATTTGGGAGTGAGCCTAAATCATGTAAAATCTAGTTCCTTTAAACAATATTGCATAAATTTAAATACATTTCAATATAATGTTGAAGGTAAGAGCAGGAAATTCTAGAGAAATGTTGATATACATATATATGCATGCAGTTTATAAAATTATGTTTCACTGACCTTTACCCACCTTTTTGTTGTTTCTTTGGACTGATACTGACTTTTTTTTTGAGATGGAGTTTTGCTCTTGTTGCCCAGGCTGGAGTGCATTGGCACGATGTCAGCTCAATGCAACCTCTGCCTCGCAGGTTCAAGCAATTCTCCTGTCTCAGCCTCCTGAGTAGCTGGGATTACAGGCGCCTGCCACTACACCCGACTAATTTTTTTATATTTTTAGTAGAGACGGGGTTTCACCATGTTGGCCAGGATGGTCTCAAACTGCTGGCCTCAGGTGATCCACCCGCCTCGACCTCCCAAAGTGTTGGGATTATAGGCATGAGCCACTGCACCTGGCTGGACTGATACTGACTTTAAATGGAACTTTATAACTCCACCATGGAATCAGATCTCTTGAGTTGTAAGACATAATTATAAGCTGTCATCATTAAGAATGGAAATACATCTTAGAAGAGAAAATTTCATCACAATTATCTGAAAATAATATTCCTTTGCCATCAATGTAAGTGGCTGTAGTTTTTAGAAAATAGACTAAGGGAGGATAACATTTTTATCCTGGCTTATGATGAAAATTAAAATTTATTTTGATATTTATCATTAGCCAGGGAGAAAAGGTGTGGGAAATTTAGTAGGGCATTTTCTACTTATATCCTGGATAAAGGAAACTATACAGTTAATATGGAATGCAGAATCATTTGTTCACTCCAATTTTTGAATCCCCTTTTCATAATTGCACATTTCTTTAAGAAGGAATATTTTCGTTTTCATCAAGGGATAAGGAAGGGGATTATTTCTGTAGAACTGAAGTGATAGTCTGAGTACTGTCCTACTGGCAGCTACTACACGCAAACTCATTCAAATAAAAACAAAGATCAATTCATTTAACACTAGAATTTTTATGTCAAACGTTATTTTAATTTACCAAAGAGAAAATCTTGAAAGATAAGAAATGGGAATAAAGAACTACATAAGTAATAACTCTGTTGTATAATTTCTTAGCTGATAAAAGTTAAGAACATCTTTTTTCATTTCTAGTAGTTTTAATTGGACATCTTTCTTATTCAGTCCTATAAATAAGAGAGCTAAATACTTTTCTAAAATATATTTAAATTTAGAATGTAAAAATCTAAATTTCTGTGGAGAAAGCCTGGTTTATTCTTTCCAAAGAAGAAAATCTTAAGTAGAATGAAATAAACAATTTATTTATGACTGTATAATTAACTTTAATTACTCACATTTAATTATGTTATCCTTAGATCAGCTATCATTTTTAAAACTATTAATATGATTTCTGTTAAAAGTGAACTTTTCTACTTAAAACTTTAATGTCACTTATATTATTAGCTTTTTTCTGTGATATGTTAAATAAACTAAAACATTGCCCAAGTGGAGAAACAAAATATTACTCTAAAAGTTACATAGGCTTAAGAAATGAATTGTGTATCATTTCAACCTGGCTTCACACAAATGGAGATAACTAAACTTGTCGTTTTCATGAATCTACCATCAAATTCCAAAAATAATTATGTAATTTCCTTTATATATACTAGAAAGAAATGAGTAAAATTGAATTTCCATAATTTCCATTTTTATATAAGCTTCCTAAATGAGCGTCAGTTATTTTACCAGTTTTCCTGTGAAACTTTGTCTTTGAAAAAAAAAATACTTTTTTTGTATGTTCTGTTTGACAAGATTATATTTTCCAATATGTCAGTCAATACAGGTTAGCTACTCAAAAGTAACAAACGAAAACAAAAGTTAAGCTCAGGAAAAGACATTTAAATAATCCTGTGCTTATATTTTGAATTCATTTTATATCTTGAAAACAGCAATGTGATAGAGTAAGAATGAGGGTTTTGCCATTGGCAAATTGGAACTAATTTGAATGAAAATTTATTCAATCACGTATGAAATTGATAAAGTGCTAATCATGTATTTATTTTGAATGCTTAGATACAAAGAGTTATCATCATTAATTCAATAATCTTGTGCCAAGTACTGAAGATTGTAGATGGTTAAAAGGAAATCTCATCTTTTTACAGCATTTTTTTAATCTAGAAGGTTTTGATGCTATTTTGAGAAGTAGTCAAAATCTATGCATATCAATGGGGAACATATGACTATAGAAATAGTCTATTTTGATATTTTTAAATGTCATTAATTAACACTTAGGACATAACAGTATATAAGAGGTAAAAAAGAATTCATAGGATTATACACATTTTCTTTATTTTATTTTATTATTATTATTATTATTATTTTTTGAGACGGAGTCCCGCTGTGTAGCCGAGGCTGGAGTGCGGTGGTGCAGTCTCAGCTCACTGCAAGCTCCGCCTCCCCAGTTCAGGCGATTCTCTTGCCTCAGCCTCCTGAGTAGCTGGGACTACAGATATACACCACCAGGCCCGGCTATTTTTTTTTTTTTTTTTTTTTTTTTGTATTTTTAGTAGAGACAGGGTTTCTTCTTGTTGGCCAGTCTGGTCTCGAACTCCTGACCTCAGGTGATCCACCCGCCTCGGCCTCCCAAAGTGCTGGGATTATAGGCGTGAGCCACTGTACCCGGCCTAAAACGTTTTCTATCGGAGCTAGTTAATGTATTCCACGTAAGTTAAAGGTATCCAAATTAAATTAAGTAGAAGTAAGGATCAAGACACTTTAAAATAAAGGATTTGAACAAGTCTATATTGAATGGGTAATAGATGCATAGTTCAAGGCCTACACGTATTTCAGTATATTTAATATGTTTCTCAAAGTACTGTATGTGTAAGTTCATTTGACAGGATAAAGATTGCTGTATTGGATGAAATAAAATCAGTTTCCATAATAAAATTGAAGCATCAGAGTCCTAACACTGTTTGTGAGGATAGCTTTTTGAATGTTCTCTGGGGAGTAACATTTTTTAGAGTAATGATCCATGATTACTATAGAAGTATGTTATAACCTTCAGGTGTGCTAGGACAGGTGACAAGGCTAATCATATCTATAGGGTTTTTTAAAAGATGTATTTCTTTTGTAAAAAGTTGGTTATTACTTTTAAAAGGTATGCTATTTGAATGTATTGGATATTTTCTCAAATAACTAGAATTATAATAAGAAAAGATGTAAGGGAACTGCCTGCAATTAGTAAACCACATACAAACAATTTTAATCTAGTCTAAAATTTAGTCTTGCTTTATAGATGTTTGATAAAATTAACATCACATTGCTGGAAATTGCCCATATTGTAGATATGAGTCATAAATTTTAAGGTTTTGTTAACAGCATTTGTTGACATTTGTCATAAATGAGGTCAGGAGATTGAGACCATCCAGGCCAACATGATGAAATCCCATCTCTACTAAAAATACAAAAAATTAGCCGGGCGTGGTTGCGCGCGCCTGTAGTCCCAGCTACTCAGGAGGCTGAGGCAGGAGAATCGCTTGAACCCTGGAGGCGGAGGTTGCAGTGAGCCAAGATCACGCCACTGCACTCCAGCCTGGGTGACAGAGCAAGAATCCGTCTCAAAAAACAAAAAAAAAAAAAACAAAAAAAACAAACTTAAGACTTAAAATCTTTATTGTTAACTTCATGGAATTAATAAACACTACATTTCTAAGACCTGATTGAATTTACATTGTGCCAGTGAGTCTCTCATAAGTGATGACAGTATATAAATATTCTAGTCATTAACAGTTGCTAGTATCTAAATAAGCAAAGAAGAGAAGACATACGATTCTGTTTAACATCTATTGACTTAAATTTTGAACATCTCAGTTTAAGAGAACTTTATTCATAGTACTTTTTTATTCTAAAGAAAAATAGGAACGGTTTATAGAACCTTTGACTTAGTCTTGAGTAAGGAGAAAATGAATAAAATTTACATTACTCTAGGGAATACACTGTGTGACCACAATCTAAAAGGATAAACTTTCCCTTTATAATTTGACTGTTTGCTTTGGGGTATAGGCAAGCATTAACATTACTTCTGCCGTTCATTAGTGCCTTAGGTACTGGTAAATTTCACAACAAAAGCAACACATATCTTTAGGCAACAAATTTGTTTATCAGTGTATCAGTGTAGTTAGTCCTCTGTTTGTGTTTTTGGAATATACCATTAATGAGGGTGCCTGTAAAACGGTGAGATTAAACTAATCAACTGCTACTTTGCAATGTTTTCAAGTAGAGGCTTGCGAGGTTGAATGACCCATAGATGAGTTTCATTCATTTAAATTGGATAAACATTTATTGAACACCTATTGTGTGCATCATACTCTGCTAGAAACTGTGGCAGATGATCAGTGTCTACAGAGGTAAAACTCTAATAGAGGGATAAGTACATAGGTAGTATCAGAGACCAAGTGAAGGAATGAAGAGAGTTGCAAACAAATTGTGAAGTTAACGACTGAAGCATGCACATGCACGTGGGGAATCGGAAAAGACTTCATGAAGGATGTAATTTTGAGTTAGGCTTAACGTGAAGTCAATTTTTAGGTTGAACTTTATGAAATTATTCATATTTGACTTTTTTTTCCTAAAAAATAGCCATCTTAAATATTTCAACCTAGTATTGAGCAGAGATGAGGAAAGGCAGGATAGATGTAAAGGACATGAGGAGATGAGCAAAGATGACTAAAACATGGGTTTCATTCAGAGAACAATGACTCCTTTGCCTCAGGACAGGCAGCCTGCCTGGATGGGGATACCTGTAAAATGAGATTGCCCAGGAGTTTGAGAGCCGTGTCTTATAGCTCATTAATTTCCAAGCTGCTGATATGTAGGGACATGTCTTAAAGTTTACCAATTATTTGGAGATGCTTAGCAAGACCCTCAAGGGTATATGTTACCTACTTTTAAAAAGCCCTACATGCTTTCTTTTTGGTACTTCTCTCCGGAAATAAGTGACTCTTTTTTTTTTTTTTTTTTTTTTTTTTGCTTGAGAAACTAGCAACACTTTATGCCCCTTCCTTCAATATTCAGTTTTAAAATACATTTTTCCTTAAAATGCTATAAGAACACAGATGAAAAATTAAAAATAAATAAAATGTCCGGAGACCACACATCAATGTTATTGTGGCCATTGCTGTTACTAGCACCTTAATCACAGAGAAGACTGTGGGGGAATTTGTTTTCAGAATCTTTTCATCTTCACTTTCTAATATCCAAACTTTCTGAGATTTGCTTTCATTGTTCTTGAGCAATTAAAATAACAAATACAAAGATTCATAGAGGTTGCTTGAGAGTCATGAAAAGTTAAGATGTATTTTAACTATTTTATTGATTTTTAACTTTCAGTATTTTTGACAGATTTAGGCTCTTCTATCTCCTTGGTAGAGCATAAAAATAAATATTTCATGTACATTGTAAATTTATAGAGTTCAGTGATGCGATCTCAGCTCACTGCAACCTCCACCTCCCAGGCTCAAGCAATCTGCCTGCCTCAACCTCCCACATAGTTGGGATCATAGGCACCCGCCACCATGCCCGGCTAATTTTTATATTTTTAGCAGAGATGGGGTTTCACCATGTTAGCCAGGCTGGTCTCGAATTCCTGACCTCATGTGATCTGCCCACCACAGCATCCCAAAGTGCTGGGATTACAGGCGTGAACCACCATGCCCGGCCTACATTGTAAATTTAAAAGTAGTAAATGCAAAACCTTTTTACTCCACAATCTATAAATTCTTCACTTCTTTCCATCATTTCTAATCCTACCACCTTAGTGGTCTGACCATCATTAACTTATTACATTGTTTTAGTAAGTTCCCATTTGGCAACTCTACCTGCAGTGTCCTACACTAAGCCTATATTTTGCAAATTCATCTTCATAAAACTCTTCTACCTTTTCATTATCCTGCTCAAAAACCATCAATAGCCTTTGAGCAGAGATTAAATTTAAACATCATGAAATGCAACTCAAAGGCCTTCTCGTCATCTGACCTCATTCTGCTATTCTAACACACACACACAAACACACACATTATCACCAGCCCTCCTTCCCCCATGCACTCTCAGGGTTCCCATAACATGTCTACGATTCTCCATTTTCCCTATTTCTACTTGGAATGTCCTCTCTCTCATCTCTGCATAATAAAAATTTTCACCTATTACAAAGCCTACGTGAAGCTACACCACTCTCCTTCATAGAGCATTCACTGATTGAATTGTCAGAATTTATCTCCCCTTTTATAATACTTTACCTACTGTGGCATCGATCACATTCTGCCTTGTGTTAAAGTTACTTGTATATATGTCTTACCTCCTCTATTAGACTGAAAACTTGATGATAACAGGAACCATTGTCCATGCAGCCCCTATCCCAGAAGTTTACACACAATGTCTATTGACTGGATTTTTTTTTCCACTTCTAACAAGAAGTAACTTTTATCCTCCTAGAGGTACTTCAATTTCAGTTACTGACTTTGTACCTCTGTCAGGGAATAATAACAAACTTTATATCTCTCCATTACTCAATACTTCTTTTCCTCCAGTTGTCTAAAGAAGTTCCAAATATGTTTCTAAATCTCACAAATGTAAATTAAATTAAATTAGGAGCTGGCTATGCCTTTTTAAAGCAAGAAACATAAATTGGTGTTTTTTTGTAGTAAGGAAAATGTTGTGTACTGAAAGGATCGATTAAATTTGAAGTCTTCTATTTCATGGATAGAACAATTTTTAAAGCATTTGCAATGAATTCCTGGATTCTGGTTTGCAGAAATATTCATTATTTGCCAAATGGGTAATTTGCACTAAAACCAAAGTTGATGTTACTTCAGTGCCCCCTTAAAGGAATGTGATGTTTTATCAGGCTTAGAAAAACTGCTACCGAAATAGACATAAATCCCTTCTATCTGTGACCTTCTATGGCAAAGGTTTGTACTCTTTAATCTGTAATAATACAAGTACTTGGCATATTTTAGGTGCCCAGTAAATAAATGAATCACTGGAAAGACTATACCCCTTACACTCCTGCCTTAAGCTATGTTAAAAATTTACTGGGAGGCTGAGGCAGGAGAATCACTTGAACCCGGGAAGGCGGAGGTTGCAGTGAGCCGAGATCGTGCCACTGCACTCCAGCCTGGGCAACAAGAGTGAGACTCCATCTAAAAAAAAAAAAAAAAAGTTGAAGAAAGTAGTGCATAAATTTCAAAAGAAAGTAGTGCATAAATTTCAAAACAGTTGGGGAAAAATGGCATAATGAATGTCTGAACCATCTAGAGGAGATCTTCAGATCCAGAAAGGGGATTTTATCACTAGGATAGTCAAGAATTTCTTTCTTATTTCCATCTGAACTTGCTCTTACTTTACTGTCTTTAATGAATTATATTAAGAATACATGTGTTTTAATACTGTTAGAACATTGGCATTCTTCTTAGAGGCAGGTAAGTTTTCCAATTGTTAACTCCTATATCACTTAATTGCTGCTTTTCTTAGGACACTTAGGGCTGGCAATCTTGTACATTTATTCTTCTTATACTAGACTACAAGTTCTTTGATAGATATTAAAAGCCTCACTGTGCCTTATATATAGAAGATACTCAATAAATTTTTGTTAAATTAGAGATTGGCAATAGGAGATAATGTTAATATGTTATTGGCTTTTCCTGTCAAAGTGAGATAGATGCTCTTTACATCATTATAGATACAGGGGACTTGACTCAATCCACAGCATAAAGGAATTCCTGGAGGAAAATTTTACTTTCTAACAGGCTTATATATATTGCTACATCTCTTAACATTTTCATTATTTAGTCATATTAAGTTAATCTATTTAAGATTTTTCTAGCTATATGTATATTATCAGAACTTCATAAGCCCCAACGTGCATAGCAAATGTGATGCAGGCCTGGATCAATGCATGTGTGTTAATGATTTTAATGACAAGCTAATGATGAGGCCTGTGATGGATGACTGAGGAGAATAAATGTAGGAGCACTATGTACAGAGCATTTCAATGATGGCTCCTCTACTTTGAAATTTACTTTCTTCTATTGATCTGAAAGTGATCTGAGACATAACCTGGCCATTTAGCTTAGTATTTTAGTGACCCAGAATTTGTTGGTAAATAATTTTTTGAAATAACTATAGCAATATGTTGTGTTGTTTTATTTCCTTTTATTACCTTAAATATACTTTTAAGGAAATGTGACTAGTCATTAATAACTCTAATGCCAGGCATCTGATATGTGAGGCACATATATCTTTGTTTCATGACTTTTTTGATACAGTAATAAAAATCTCACTTTAGAAAGAGGTACTGAAATACTTTTAGAGCTAACGAAACTCATACAATGTTAAAAAATTAATTTCTGTATTTATACCATACTTTCTTCCAAAAAAGGTTATAAGGTTATTATATATTATGACTGTGTTCAGTGTTTATTGATCACTTATGATCCAGGCACTATTTCAAGTGTTTTACATATATGCAAAATAATTTAACCCTTATAACGAGTGTATAAGGTAGTCACTGTTTTCCTTGCTTTATGGGTAAAGAAATGGAGATACAGAGAGGTTAAGTAGCTTTTCCAAGGTTGCATAGCTAGGAAGTAAAGGAGCCAGGCTTCAAACCCAAGTATTTTATCCTCAAAGCCCACTATATTCTTAACCACTTAATCACTGCTGCGTGACTAAATATTATAAATGAGGTGCCTAAACTATTCAGTATTACTTTATACCACACTTAGAAGTTAATCAAAATACTAAATACATAAAATGCATCACGGTAAATTATATTCTTATAATTAAAAACCTGTAGATAATTCTACATGGGAAGAGGATTCATAATGAAGAATTGGTGAGCACAGAAGAGAGTTTCTTTAAAGGGATTCTTTTATTTTATTTGAATTGTCAGGGATGTTTCTATGTTGGAAAGAAGCATTTTTGTAGAAGAAAACCTAATTATCCTATGGTAGTGTAACACATGGCACCTTGAGGAATTTGCAGAAATGAACACCACAGAAATATCCACTTTTTCTTTTGGAAATAAATTTAATGGCTCTCATATCCTATAATGGGGCAAAAAGAGAAAGAAATTGCCAATGGTCACAAGAAGAGACTAATTCTCTATTCATCCTGCAACCCACAAAAGGCATGTGACTTCATTGTGTTCCATTTCTTTTGAGTTGGCATATAACTTGACAAGTGAAAACATGGAGCACTTTGAGATCCAAAAATGAGAAACCTAATATAAATAGAGATAATTATAATAGAAATTTTATTTTTATTGAAAAGTATTCCACCAATTTATAGGCATAGGTACTGTAACTTTCAAGCAATTTTATTTTCTGGAATGTTGAAACTTCTCTTGCTACTTTTTATTTCTTCCTCTGATATTATATTGATGGCAAATAGATCTTTTAAAAATTGAGCATTAATAATTATTGACTTTAGTTTGCTTTATTTTAGGAAATTAGCAGCCTAACATTGTAGCCATTGGGGAAAATTTTATGTACAGCTTTTCCAGCTCTGATATCTTTTTCACTAGTTCTGAATGGAAAATATTCCAAGCATACTTAATTTCAGAGAGGTATCTTCTCTATTAGAATTAGTACAATGAAACTCTTAATGCTTTCATGGCACGTAATTTATTCACTCAACATGTATTTACAGTGTGCTATGTGTAATGTCTCCTAATCTGTGAAGTTCACAGTCTACTTGGCAAGATAAAGTATAGCTACCAGTAGAAAGAGTTAAGTGACAGTGCATGTGATTAAGGCAATATGGGGTAGCAGAAATAACAAGGTTCCAAGAAACTTTCTAGAGGCCAGTGTGTGTGTTTGTCTTTGCTGTGCCTGTATGCAGACACTTGGACAGTCACTCCTTTACTCATCTGTAAAATGGGAAGTCAAATAACAATAACGTTACATTAGACCCAGTTTTAGGATTCAAAGATTCTGTAGTTTTGAGCATCAGAATGACCAAAAAATGCTTTGAAGGTTCAGAGTAGATCAATGAAATGTGGACAGGTCGAAGTCTTTAGGAAGTAGACACAGTGTGAGTTGATCCTTAAGTGGTAGACAGGATGTGTGTGAATAGGCAGAACAGGGTAGAAGGATGTTCCATGTATACACGGAGAGTTGAAAGGGGAAACACAGCCTGAGTCTCCATGAAAAATGTCTTGGAGTAGGAACTGAAAACAATGTTTCTGGGATGATGTTTTGAGTCTGAAATGGAAGTTATTATTCAGAAATATTGTTGTACATAGATAGGTGGAGATCAGATCATAGTTTATTGAGAATGGCTGAAGGGTTTTGGCTTAATCCTCTTTCAACCCCGTGTCTCAGTTCAGACATATTTTTATACAGGGCAGTGGCATAATGAAATAAATAAAGTTCTTGCATATTAAAATTTTCTGAGACTACAATAGAACATACCTCTTTAGTCATTCTTTTAAAAAATTTTTCTTTATGTGCTTTTTTTAGAGACAGGGTCTTGCTTTGTTGCCCAGGCTGGCATTCCTCCCACCTCAGCCTCCCAAGTAGCTGGAACTACAAACATGGCTTCTATGTGCTTGTTTCTAAATAATACATCCTATTTGTTATTCCTCTTTATCAAGAACTTGAGATTTTTCCACGAGGTTCTTTATTCAAATAAAACCCAACCCAGAAAGGTTAACCCAAATGAACCAGATGCATATGATATTGCAGTGGTTTTGCTGAGGAAACAGTTGAAATGCAGCAGGGAATTCAGAAACTGTCAGAGGAGGGGGACCTCCGAGGTCTTCTCAAGTGTCCTGAGTATATTAAAACACACTCCTGCACAAGAGCTCACATCTGTATCTAAAACTATGGGATGCCCAAAATAATGCTTATTGACTTGAAGGCAGTCGCCTAGACCACTGCTAGATATCTATGTATGTGGCTTGACAGTAACTCAATATCTATTTAGAAATACTCAGCTATTAAAGCCTGAAAGTTTTGAATATTCGCAGGTCATTTGTGAGACCTAATTAGAAAAAGGTGCTATTATATTAACCTTAGGAGTTTATTCTAATTATTTCCAGCACTTAAGAGTTTAGCATTCTCTAAAATGTTCTGAATCCCAGATTAAACCAGGAAAATCTAAAATTATAAATTCAACTTATAACTATTATTAAATCAAAATGTCATTTTTTATAAAAGTCATTAAATGAATATGAACTTTCACAAGTAATCTCATTAGAAGATTTCATTTGTATATTTTAGAGGGTACTTTGGGAATATTAACATTAGATTTAATAAATGTTTAAAATTCTGTACATGTCTACATGAAACTGTAATATACTAGTTGGTTCATCTATTATTTTACTCAAACTATTGGCTAGTTCAATGAACCATTTATTCAAAGTAGTTGTTGAGTTCAGTTGGTTGATTTTTTTTTTTTTAGTCAGAATAGTTGGGTTAGTCTTTAAAATAACACTGATAAACATCTCTTATGGATTTAGGCTTTTACTATTCTGAAATCACCTATGGGTATACACTCATACACAAGCACACATGCTTATGTGCAGATCTTTCCCCCTCTCCCAGTGGTGCATGTTTTCCTGATAGCACATTTCTAACTTGCAAATTGGCTATGGAACATTTCATTAGGACCAAATAGTTTATTTATCACGTTAAATAGTACCTACAAACTAGTCATATGCATACAGTAGAGTCCTATTTTTTTATTTATAAGTAATTCTTTAATACATAGTATTAGTTATTTGGGGGCCTATGGTTTTATTTTATAATTTGTCATGCAGGATAACAAATAGTACCTTGGAGACTTAAAACTATGATAGTTTTCCTTATATAAATAATATAGTGCTTTGGATTTAGCATGAAACATAAGCATAATAACTTCAGTTTCGTTAACTATCAATGACAAACTCTTCTTGGCTTTTTATTTGTATTGGCTAAAATATAATTTCATGATTTACCCCACAGTGTGCAATAATGGCGTTATAATGGCCACTTCGAGTAGTCTCTAACCTATCCCTAGGGAGTAATCTATACTGAGAATTGAGAGATTAAAGCTGATAGTAGCTTGATACAGTAGCAACATTTGGGAAATTCCAGTGTTCTTTGCCCATGCATGCAAAATGTTAGAACAGTTCCAGAAATTGTCACCCCAGAATTGGCTTTTCTGATGGGCTTTAAAGTACTTTTCTTATATCTGTGATACTCCTCTAATAACAGTTACAATGTTCTGGAATCTCATTTACAACTATTCACTTTTAAAGGAAATAATACAGTGTCTAGGGAAAAGATGAGCTGCTAAAGCAACTCCACCCTTCAAAAAAAGTTGTCATAAGATGAACTATGAACTTAATAAGGATGATCCAGGAATATCAAGAGGAAAACCGGTGTTTTTTTTTTTAAAAAAAAAGCCAAAATGTGAACCGTCTTCACCATATAACACTAGTGACAAAATAAACTAATTAGAATTGTATTAAACTTTTTGCCCCATCTAAATATACTTTCATATATGTAGTGCCATTTCTAATCAAATAGTTTACAAATAATAAGTTTTTTTTATACTATAGTCTATGCAATACCTGAAATTATAATACTTCTTTTTTTTTTTTTGAGATGGAGTCTCACTCTGTCACCCAGGCTGGAGTCCAGTGGCACTGTTTCGCCTTACTGCAACTTCCTGCTCCCAGGTTCAGGTGATTTTCCCACCTCGGCCTCCCGAGTAACTGGGATTACAGGTGCATGCCACCATGCCCAGCTAATTTTTGTATTTTTATTAGAAACAGAGTTTCACCATGTTGGCCAGACTGGTCTTGAACCCCTGACCTCAAGTGATCCACCCACCTTGGCCTCCCAAAGTGCTGGGATAACAGGAGTGAGCCACAGCGCCTGGCCAATACTTAAGTCTTTATGCTTTTAATGTTCGGCTTTTTAGAGGCCACTACGGAAATATCAAAGTAAATGTTCTTGTAGCACATTCTAATATCCAGTTCAAATTTTAACTTCAGTTTCAAATTTTGTCTTGTCTCATTGCTGGCAAAATAATGTATATATCTTCATTTTCTCAAGATTGGTAAACATTTTGTTTGTTTTTCTTTGTTTGCTTTTGCTTAAAAGAATATGTCTCTATAAGGACATCTGGAAATAGCTATGAAAATAAAATCTAAAAATTTTGTGTGTATCAAAGTTATTAAAATATTCTGAGCACGTATACTTTTTAATATAATTATTTTTAAATTATGATTATTATAAAATTTTTAAGACATTTTCTTTTAATGAGCCGAACACTTCTGGAATAATGTCAATGAGCACGTTCAAAGGGACATTAGGATTCCATTGCAGTTGAACTTTCTAGGATCCAAATGTTTTTTGAATTTGCATGCACTATAGTAATATATTGAATGAGTTTTAAAGTGCCCTAAGTGCTTTGTTATTTAGGAACTTTTATAAATGTTGTATACTTGTTGCTGAATAACGTGAAATGTCTGTTTCTGAGCTTTGAATTATCATGTGATAAGAGTTTCCTAAATATTATTTGATTCTACGGCATATAGATTTTTATATTGATTAAGCGTTATTTCCATTTAGTTTACGGGAGAGTTTTGATGAACACCCAAGCAAAGCAACTTCCCTATGTTCTACAAATCCAGTTGGAGCATAGCTAATATGGTTTGTGTCACCATAAAGAATGACAATACACCTTATTTCATTACAATACCCTGCTAATGACGTTATTTGCATCCCCAGCATATCTGTGCATGATTGCTGGTAATAATCCTGTCATAATATGCAAGTGTCTCATTCCAATTGCAGCAATGAATTCAAAGATACATAGTACACATTTATTTCTGACTTCATAATGCTTGCTACTCATTAAATACTAAATGACTCATCCAGACATCTTAATATAGCGTAAAGTGACTGAGAGAACTAATAATTTTTCTCGCTTTTTCAAACCACACAAGCATGTTACTGATTTATAATTAATGCAAATTAAAGCTGTAAGCTATGTTTTTCACATTAGGAGAAGGCTTTGCTATGTTTTATGACTGCAGCGACCTTGTGTAGTCTAGACTCATTTGTCTCTCTTTAATATTTTTAAGTACATATCTCTAGGATTGTTTGTTACCATATGATAAATATATGTGACAGTACTTTTAGAAGCCTTTCTTTGTCATAAAGCTCAAGGGACCCTCTCCAACCAAAATAAATTTACATCCCTAGGTAATCATTCACATTGAATTAGTTATTTAAGGATATTTTATTTACTATGTAATGAGTTCTAATTAAATTTTAAATTTTTCTGTGAATCTTACATTAAGAAGTAACTCATGAAGAGAATTCTCAAGAATTTTCTAGCCTCTTATATCAAATATTTGTCACGTTTTAAAACTAAGAAGACACACACACATATATACATACATATACATAGACCAATAGAGATGGCTACAAGTAGTTCGTTAGTATGGATGAAACTGCAAAAGCCATTTGTGAAGTAAAAAATGAGATAAAACTTTTTCATAAACTTCAGGGTTTTTTTTTTTTTAATGTGCTTGTCCTTTTCCTTTCTTTTAATTTTTCCTTTTATTCTTCTCTCCTACAAACACACACAAACACATGCATACATGCATACACACACACACACACACACACACACACACACACACACATCTTTTTTTTTTTTTGGCCTAGTTTTGCATTTCAACATGCCTGGTTCAAACTAGCTAAAAAACGTATAATTTACTAACACCAAACAACAAAAACAAAGGCTAAAGCAAAACAAAACCTAGAGTTTCCCAATAAGGTTTGAATAATAAGTTATTTTGCAATGAATATTAAAGCAATCTGTACCTTTTAAAATTCAAAGTTACTTCTTTCATTGAAGAATGTAGCCCAAGAGATGGCTGGCAGGTTCAGTCACTTTCTAATGCAAAAACTACTTGATAAGGAATCTTTTTCACAGCGATTCCCTGATGCATCTAATGTGTCAAAAATAATTAGGTTTTGGCAGATTTATCATTGCAGCACAACCCTTTCCTTGAGTAGGGCCTGGATCATGTTAAGCCTTGTTTGTGTGTGACAGCATTATTATTCTTGTTAGTTGCCCACTTCCCCATCACTCTGTTGTGTTT
Source organism: Homo sapiens (assembly GCF_000001405.40). NCBI lineage: Eukaryota > Metazoa > Chordata > Mammalia > Primates > Hominidae > Homo > Homo sapiens. The sequence goes on from NC_000007.14 coordinate 114,688,710, forward strand.
GGAAATTTCCCACCTCAACTTGTGTTCCTCACCAGTGTTTTTCTTCATTTATTGACAGTTGGTAAAGATATTCATTAATTTAGAGTTAAAAACATGTATCATCATGTCTCACTGAACTGCTGGGCTGAAGTTGATTAATGGCAAAGCCTTGCTGCAGGTTTTCCTCTTGAGAAGCAGCTCACCAGCCCTGCATATTAATGAGAGATTGCGGTTTCTATTAACAAGATAAAAAAGCAGGTCTTCTCTTGCTTCAGGGGTAAAAAGGATGAAAAAATTTGATTATTTATATATAATATTTTTCCACCAGGTGCTATCTGTGAACCTTCATAGCTTTTCTCAGATCACAGTGACCTTTCTAATATATTTTGGGGTTGGAGGGATAATAAACTTCAGCATATACGTTGTTTAAGTTTCTATAATTATATTGCTGTGGCTGGTGTATTCATGACAAAATTTTAATTACATAATGTATGTACACACACAAACATATAAATATGTGCTTGAAAATAGTACTGGCATCCTGGTAATGAAGACGCTTTAGCCCCAGTTTATTTTCTGAAATTTGTTAGTATTTGTTTCAACAAACACCCAATCTAGCTTATACTGGAGAGTTTAAAAAAAAATAGAAATAAAATTGTTAAACTCAAGTCTGAAATATTTAGAAATAACAGTTGTTATCTTAATTGCTAGCAAAAAACTGAATGGTAAAAGTGTTTTCATTTGTTGATTAATTATTTGTTTACTATTCCTTTACTACCACTCCTTGATTATCATGTTATAACAAATACTAACAAAACATTTCATTCAGAAAGAATGCTGAGAAACGGATGTTTTACCTAAACAGCACAGCATGTGGGAGTCCATGCTCACATTACTCTGAATCCCTGCCTCCACAGTTCTACTGTAAAGTATCATGTCTCTAACCAGCTCACGCAATCAATCAGATGCCCTTTTAAGAAAGACAATGTTGTGTCTTCTTGCCTTTTTTCAGTTGACCTCTTCACTGCAAAGTTGGCCAAACTCTGTTTGTTGCTTACTTAGTAAAATTTTGGTGTATCTACATGTTTTTCAGACATTCAATCCACGTCAAGGAAGAGCCAGTGATTGCAGAGGATGAAGACTGCCCAATGTCCTTAGTGACAACAGCTAATCACAGTCCAGAATTAGAAGACGACAGAGAGATTGAAGAAGAGCCTTTATCTGAAGATCTGGAATGAGAACTGACTTGTGAAACCTCAGCGTGAAGGGACATATCACTGACCTTCATAACCACTCCACAACCATGAATATTTGACAAATTTTTACTGTGACTATTTATTAAGCATGGATAAAGGAGACAGCCCTAAAGGAACTTACTAAGCCAGCCCTTTGGGATTCAGTACCAACAGGCAAATTGCTTGTTTTCTTCTTCTTCTTCTTCTTTTTTTTTTTTTTTTTAGAAAAAAAGACAAAAACTGATTTTCTTGAAAAAAAAAAATGAACTGTTCTTTCTATAATGGCTTTGCCCATTTAAAAAATGTGGCTCTTAAGGGTTCATGAAATGACTGAATATGAGGATACATGTCCTGTAGAAAGCAAATGCGCCTCATATACTGCCAAAAATAGTGTTAGTTTCATTAATGTGAATTTTCCAGCATTCAGTAGTTGTAATGTTAGAAACAATTGCTGGTCAAGTTCAACTTGTTGCTATTGTTTTTAATTTGCACAGGAGTAGTATCAGAAATTAGTGTCACTGCTTGTATCTAGCTGAATTTTAAACAACAGAACATTAGTTTTTTATGTTGGTGCCACCAACTGTAAATGACATAAGTTAGTTATTACAAAACACAGTAATTAGACTGTTGCAACCATCTAAAACCTTAGGCTTCCAGTCTGTGCTGTTAGTGTTAAGATGTAAAGTGCAATCCTAAGCTAACATTATCTGTGCAAGCACCATAGAAACATTTGCATATCTGCATAGATCTTACAACTGTACTCTTTACCTCCTTGTGATAAAGCTTTGTCTACCTGCAAACACAGTCAAAGGCTACAGCTGCAAACCAAAGCCAACTCTAACCATGGCCAAGAGCTCAAGGACAGAAGCAGCCACATGCTTTGGTCAGCCTTCTGTAACTTCAATTAGTACAAAGGAACCTTTTCCATGAACTACCTGCTGTTTTCTGATGACCTCTGGGATCTTTTCATTTAGCCCTAAACAAAGAAACAAATATGACAAAAACCACAACTAAAAAATGTTAATTCAGTCACAGAGTAATCTTCTGAGGCCAAAAGTCCATCTAAATGCAATGAAGATTTGCTTTCATTAAAGACAGAGGTGAGGACAAAATCCGCAGTGGAAGTTATGATATGCTAGAAAGCAACAAATGTGGATCACTGACCAAAACGATTATGTACTTGATGCAAATGCAGATTGCATATTGTTATATATATAGTACTTTGTGTTTTTGTTTTCCCTCATTCAGTCAGTTATTTTCAGTGGTGAATACATGTTGTTAGAAGATGTCTTGTATGGTCTTAATCTTTGTTGTGTACTATTTTTTTATAGTCTTAAGTTATAATGAAAAAACAAAAAGTAGGAACCAAACATAAAAGGTCTAGTAAAGCCAAAAATTAATTTCATATTGATTTTAAAGTGATCTAGCTGAGTTTTTACACTGAAAGCAAAGATTATAGCAATTGTAGTCCATGGTATTTATTTTCAGTCAAACCAAAGTTACATATAATTCTGCCTCTGCTTATACGGGATATTAACACTAACAATACACTCCCTTCAAAGACTTGCACAGGCCAAATTGTTGGAATGCTGGTTTTCTTGACAATTCCAAACCCCAAAACTATGATAATGAGTTATGATGTAGTTGAAAATAGCATAGTCAGATGTTTGCTTAAAACCTAGAAACTTAACATGTTGCTTTTCATGTGCTGTGCCAAGTCTTGATAATACTTTTTCCCCCAACCAAGGGACCTCATAACCTGATTATGGTTATTGCTTTACAAACAGTTTTGACAGAAGGTGGCTGCTAGAGCTTAACATACGTTCCCGTTCCATGTGATGGAACCGGTTCTTGCAAACTAAGCTCATCATTGATTCTTTGCTGAAGTCAGCAAATAGAGTTAGAGAGATACCCAGTCATCTATCACACCAAATAAAAGGACATAACGGCTTTCAAAAGGGTTTTCCCACTTACCCAAAAGGCTTTCTGAAAGCTTCTACCTCTGCAAAAAAAAAAAAAGAAAAAAAAAAAAAGAAAAACATTAGAACAATTATGGCAGATTGCATGAAACGTGAGAACGTCACAGTAACTGCTACTTTTCATTATGTTTGTCTTTGGGTCATGATCAACGAACCGGAAGTTTACAATATGGTATTAAAAGAAAGATGGGTATGGTGAAAGATGGTTTTCAGTCATCTAGGATCCTACTGTAAGGATTATCTGAAAGGAAAAATGGGTCTTTCAGGTGCATGTTCAAAAGGCTTTGAGGGACTGGAAGTAACTGCGAGAGTTGTACCATCAGAAGGGTGGCCTAAGACTACAATGCTAAAGTATGCATACCTCAGTTAGAAAACTTTTGAAAGGAAGTCTCAGCCACAGAATGCATATACCTGTAGAGTTTTGCATGGGTTTTATATGAATACAATTTTAAAAAATAGCTGCTTGCACATTATACCAGAAAAACCTCCAAAACTGCAATTGCTTTGAAAATAGATTTTAGGTTTTTTGGAGTTTCCTGAAATGCTTGGTCTGTATTTTGATAATTGTGCATATTATGTAAAAATGTTGGTGGACCCATAAATGACCAGACTTTTTCTAAGAAAAATGTTGCTTTAATGCATTTCATGAATTTTTACTCTTATATCATTGCTTGCTAGTAATAGCAAATCTGCTTTTCTGCATCTGCTTTGCGTAGCTATTGTAAGGCTTTGAACTAATGTATGTATTTATTGCTTGAACTTCTGTGCATACCTTATAAAGCATAATGTCTGACAATTTAAATGGCTCATGTATTCTTGCTTCTATCATAAGCTGATTATGGGGACTATGATCTTTTGTATACAGCAAATTTTAAACTGTAGCACAAACATCTGTTTATGTATTGGTGGAATATACCTGTTTTATTTATCTTTTTTGAGGTAAACTAATTTTTGATACTTTTCATTACTGTGTACTATGTTCATACTTTGAATTCTCTGACGTTAGAAGTCATGGTTGAGAATTGTAACAGCTGTTATTCGTTCTGTATTCATGGCTTTCACTGCTGAATAAAATAAAGGACCAAACCTAGGATTTGAAAGAAAACTGTCTACCTCTAACACCAGGGAGTTATCAGATTTTATTTTACATAGTTTTAGTCTACAAAGACACAATTGCTTAAACCTAGTGGGCTTAAGGCTTATATTCTATGTGGTTGGATTCGTGGCACAGTTGTACTATTTGAAAATCAATTAAAATTTTATGTGAATGTTACAAGTATTTGGTAGAATTACCACTAACTGGGTTTTCTTTAGATAACTCAGATATGGAGAAAATGTCATCAGCATTCTGTGTCTACAGCTGCTTAACTTCATAAGAATGCATTTCTTTGTGATTAGGGAATCGAAGAATAGTCAGCTAGGAATAGAGCTACAGAAGTACACTTACATAAACCATCCTGGACTTTAATGTCCCTGGGCAGATTCAGTCGCAAAATCCAATATGATATTTTGTAAAGTTTTCAAGTTGGACATTTACATTTTTGAGAATTTTGAGACTTCATCTTACACATGCCAGTATTAACACACATTTGGACAATAGCTTTATTAAGTCTATAAAGCTATTGAAAGGAACATGGCTTACCCTTGTTATTTCACTAGTTCAGGTTGCAACGAAAGGTTTTTTTGTCCATGAACACTTGGCATATCTTACTTAGCAAAAAAGAAGGATGTACATTTTACTATAGAATTAATGTATGAACAGTGTGTCACTGCTGTTGGATGTAAAAATGTATATGAAACCATTTCATTCACTTGATTACATTTCTGAAGTATAAATAAAAAAATCTAATTCTTTTTGACCCATTTATAACCAATAGGATTTTATTCTTTCGGAGAGACCATTCTTCCATGCCAGAGCCAAGTCATAAATTTGTATACACATGTCCCACAATTTGTTTAAAATTATTTTCTTAGGGATTTGGGATTCATAAACCAGACCATACTCAAATGTAAAGATGGAGGCTGCTTGTCAAATGCATTCCATTAAAAACTGTCTTCAGGTTCCAAATTGCTTCCCCACACACTTATCTCATGTTTTCGTGTTTTTATTCTGATACAATTTGACATTATAAATTCTGAACATTAAAAAATGCCAGGGGAAAACATGATTACTCTTTTTAACTTTATGACTTTTTTGCTTTATTGTCTTTTTTTGTTTTGCCTCTGAATATCAGTCACACCCACAGCATCCAGCCATGGTTTAGGGGAATGTGTCAGAGATAGGTAAGTAGCTTCCAAGAAAATGCTTTTTAGGATATTAGGGATCTGTTCCAGACCCATATTAGTGGAAAAAAACAGGCAAGATAGGGCCTCAGCATTAGAAAATTTCACTTCCTACTTTAACCTAACTTCCAAATCTCCTCACAATCAAAAGTAAAAGGAAAATGAATCTGTTGAGAATTTTTTAATTTTATGCATAACTTAATATTTTCTGTCATCCTAGTGAAAGGGTACCTTGAATAAAGGACTTTCCACAGGATTAAAAAATGGCTTTAAAAAGAAGTATGGACATGAGATTAATGTCCTTGAACATTACGTTTTTTTCTTTATCAACTAGTTCAAAGTAAATGATTACCAATGTATCCTGTCCAGCGTATTTTGTTAACTTACTAAAGGCTACATAACAAGATGTGAATCCAGTCTGAGCATTTTCTATACTTTAATATAAGGAGAACAATTTAGAGATGAGAAATAACAAGAAATGAGTAAAACTGATTTGGCGGATGTTTTGTACGTAAACCTAAATTCAAACTCTTGTGATCCTGTAGTTTAAAACACTTGTTACCCAGATATTTTGTGCTGTTGAATCAATGGAGGATTCAGGTGCTTTGTAAAAAGTTGGTCACTAAATTACTTCTGAATTTTTAAAATAAAAACACAAAAAAGATGTCAACTTAAAATCTAAGCAGAGAAGAAATACAGATGGCAAGTCACACTTTAAGTATTTTCTTTCTTGAATAAGAGTAATGAAAGCTAAGCATCCAACTCCCTACTGTTTCAAATATTTTACAAAAGGATATTAAGACAAATCCTAATGTTCAAATGCTGGTGAAGGAAAAGATCATAAGCTCTATCTTTTCGCGTTTTTTTGTTTGTTTTTAAACTGCATGGAAAACTGTAAACACCAAGGCACAAGGTAACTATAAGAGAATGTGTAACTTGAGAAAATAAGACGTGGCTTTACCCACAATTTAACGTACTGTTCCCTTTACCCTCCGTATGTTCAGTCGCCAACACCGGCTAAATGAAACTGTGTGACACCTGAATAAATGGAAAGACCAGCCATAGTAAAACAAATAAAGAGTTTATAATTTTCTGGGAAATTTGCACCTTACAGGTGATGGCCATATTGCTTAAGCCAATATATACACATAGGCACTCACACACACGCATGCTCCAGGAAGAAAACAAAATCAGAACCTTAAGCTCCAGATACACACTATCGGTTTCACACTCTGTTGTGAAGTTTCACTTAAAATTCTTTGAATAAATATCAGTCAATCTCTTTTCTAAAGCTGAAGCTGATCTTATCCCTTAACTTCATGGGTTTTTAGTTTCCAGCACTCTTACAGAAAATTAAAACATCCACATTATAAAAATTGTCCCTCCTTTCATATTTGAGGATTGTTGGGATCAAAGGTTTGACAGCGAATATTCATGTCCAGAGGTGACGATGAACAGAAAGAAAAAATGAAAAGAGTTATTAAAGAAAATGTTCCTGTTATGACTAGACATGATATGTATTTTTTCAACTCTTCATGTCATGATGATAGCACTGAAGAGGTCATCAATTTGAAAGTGGACTAGCTGTGTGATTCCCTTCTCAGTCACTCGTAGATCCTCGTGTTCAATAGCAATTTGCTATTGCCTGGTGGAAATTGTGGAAAACAGCTTGCAGGTTCCTGTGATAACATCCAGGGATACTGATGTGAGGCAAAGCCCCTAAGCCACCATTCTCTTCCTCCCTGTGGAGGCAGCGGACAGCCCTGGAGTCATGGGAAATGATGTAGGAAAAACACCTGACCTGGCCTCCCTGCTTTCCTTTAAGTGTACTGATAGGATGCTATAGAAAATGCAACATTTTAAAACTACCAATCCTCTTTTCTCAAATGTGCTGGGGGAAAAAATATCACAAGAAGTCTCAGGGAAAAGTCATAAAATTTTAAAAAGACACTTCTAATATAAAGTTATTAAGATCATAAATTCACACATCTTCCATAAGCCAAAAAAATAAGCTTCTCGGAGAACAAAAGCTAAGGAAAATCTGGGCCAGCATCGAGTGAGTCCTTGGAGTTGAACTGTGCACCAGTATTTAAATGTTTTATTTAATGCCCTTCACCAAAGAAAGGAGCTCCTATACAGTTAATCCACAAGAAACCAAATCAACCCAGCCTCAATAGGGCTGAGGTTCAATAGAAATGTTTCATCGGCAAGTATTAAACCTAGATGTTGAAAGTCTTATAATAATATCAAATGCTTGCTAGCAATGCCATGCATTTGTTTATAGTTTTGAACTCTCTGATAATAGAAATCAGTTAATTTCAAAGTTAATTTTTAAAAAAAGATTGCAAATAATAAAAGATGAATTTTAAAATCATTTTACAGATGCCACTGTTTTCCCCATAACCACAAAATGGTATGTGAGCCACCTACAATAATCCAACATTTTTGGTTGTCTCCAGTCTGAGACACCTAGTTCTCAAGTATATTCTCCTTATTTACCACTGTGGAGGGTTTGTTTAATACTCATTGTGATGCATAATCAGATAGTTGTGTTATTTGACAATACTTATTTCACCAATACATATCCCATCATTTTAGAAATAGTCTCCACCACAAAATGGAAATATCTCATTAATTCTGCCCTCTGCATAAATTTAAAACTGTTATTATTAGATAATGAGCATGTCAATAGTTGTCATTTTGCTAAAAGAATAGTCTTGAGCATTAGTATCCTAAAATTTTAGAGGGGGGGCATTTTGACACTAAAATTGTTATTTCTAGCTTTTAGAAAAAAATCACTGGGTCATTTGAAAAGTACATATGATACATAAAATTTGAGAGACAGTCACCTTGGGATCAGGCATTCAAAGAGGCTTCAAGTACTTTGGCAGAATTTAAGTGACTTATTAAGGCTTATTTCCAAAGTATCTAATCAAAATCAGAGGGAAAAAGTTTTCATGCTGTGTGCCAAAGAACTCCAAAGTTATGGCTTGAACAGAAGAATTCATTTTTCCTATCTCAGGTGTCAGAAGCAATTACATTTAAGCCCATTAGGAGGTTAATAGGTAGCAACTTTTTGTTTAGAGATCACTGTAATTAAATCAGTAAGTTTTGCATTCTCACTGAGTCACAAAAAAACATCCACTCACTTGCCTTTTGACTTTTAGGAAGATGCTAACAGTATTGAATAATTCAATATACTCATGACTGAGCTATAACACAGCGCTTTTTTGTGTGAGGAGATTCCTGTTCCAGCCCAATGGAAAGAGAGCGGTGACGGGGGACTAACAAGCTAGATTGTGTTAGTCACACAAGGTCTAAGAAAAGTAAAATTGAATGTAGGCTCTGTATCTGAACTGCGAAACTGGTTTCATGTCATTTGCCAACACTAACATGGATGCATAGCATCTGCCTGGGGTGCCTGGCACATAATAGAGGCTCAGTAAATACGTGATGATGGGTTCCGAGGCCATACCTTCACTACACAAGAAAAATGTGCTATCATCTACTCGTGACTTCTGCCACAAGGACAGGAAAGGGAGTAAGACAGGAGGTCCACTGATTTTCCAATTCATTTTTGTTTTTTTGAAGGCAATGAGAATAGAGGGTTATCAGTGGATAGGGTCTATGAGCTGGGAATAATTTCAGATTGGCATATTAGGCACTAAACAAAAGTATGTGGAAAGTGTAATTGGTGGAAATTTTCCATTTGGTGAATTTCTGTTACACATAAAGACCCAAATGTTATTACACTTGATAGGTACTCAGGGACTATCCAAAATTATTCCATTCTTAGGGAGCTGAGACACCTGCTAAGTTGCATCCAGGAGGCTCTTTCAGGGAAGACTGAAGTCTGACCTCTTTGGGTTATAAGACAAATTCCTTATTCTCTCATTTCTAGCCAAGCCTTTGGATCAGTGTGCAATCTCTGTTTGCCATATAGAAGTGAACTTTGGGAGAAAGCTATGTCTTTCTCAAAATCTTTAGTGTAAATAGTTCCAGTTCAAACAGTTTCCCCTTCTCTAGTACTAAATGAAGAGACCTGGGATGAGAACCCCTGAAACCCTCCCTCAATGAAGGGTCTCAGTTGGAATCTGGCTGTGTTTATCTAACCATGTTTCTTAGATCCTGCCTGGATGGAGAGGTAGATGACAAGAATAATTGTCCAAGCAGTAATCTCTGGATACAATGCCTGCTATCCAAACTTCCAGAATCCTGGTTCCTGAGGCCCTCATTCTTGTGCACGTGAGGCCCATGGCGTAGCTCACAGCATCCCTCAGCCAGCCATGCCAATCCCTCCTCAGCAGTGCAGCCTCCCCTACTCTCCCTGTGCTGCCTGGTGCTACCCGTGCAGCTACAGAAGGGGTCCCCACTGCCTGCTGATGCCACCCCTCCATCACCACTGGAGTCTCTGGGAAGACTGCCACCATGGGGCCACCCCTTCTGACAAGATCCTGCCCTGCCTCTGCTCCCCGTGTTTCTTCCTGGAATAGAAGAGTCTGCTTCCTGCCTTTGTGTTAAATTGCATTTTGACAAAGGCATTTTTGTGGACAACAGTTGCAAGACAAAACTGATGTTACCCATTTTATCATAAACATAAAGCTCACTCTCTCTCATTGGGCTTACTCTTTCAGGTCATCACAGCCTCAAACCTTCTCTGATGCTTAAGAGTTTGGCTTCTGTTCTCTTCAAGGCTGGGCTGGATTTGAAGATAACTTGATTTGTTCTAGGTAGAGGAAAAACCCTTAGCTTGTAATAACTTTTTAAATACTACTATGACACCAAGATGCTATCTCTATCTCTTTCTCAACTTAAAAGGGGTGAAAGTCCTTTTCCTATTTAGCATCATGTTTCAGATGTTGGGTGACTACCCTTCCACCTTCTCCCTTCACCATCATCATCACCACCCTCTTGTCAAATGTCTCAGTCATATAAGTCAGCGAATGTCTCCCCTGTGCCTGTTATTAGGCCCTGAGGAAAATAGATTCCTCTCCAACAAGAAACCAACAGTGACAAGTATATCCAAGTCCAACCAACAGAACCAGCTCACTTTAAGTCCCTTTCTGTACTGTTCTAGGGCAAATGTGTGTAAGAGGAATTTCTGACCATGCATCACAATTGTCTTGAGAGTGGATGCTAACGTCCCTCTCAGACCTCCTTGCCACTTTTCTTGCTTTTCACCATTCCTCCATGGAGCCATGGGCTCCTCAGGCCGGTTAGGCAGTGTTCAGGTCAAGGGTTGGCAAGGATTTCTTTCCTTGAAACATATTGGATTAGGAGTTTGATTCCAACATGTAGTTGTCCAAACATGTAGTTGGTATATTCAGGAATTAAACTTCAGGAGTTGATATTAGAAGACCTCTTGGCCAGGTGCAGTGGTTCACGCCTATAATCCCAGCACTCTGGGAGGCCAAGGCGGGTGGATCACCTGAGGTTAGGAGTTTGAGACCAGGCTGGCCAACATCATGAAACTCCGACTCTACTAAAAACACAACAACAAAAAAATTAGCTGGGCATGGTGGTGGGTGCCTGTAATCCCAGCTACTTGGGAGGCTGAGGCAGGAAAATTGCTTGAACCCGGAGGGAGGAGGTTGCAGTGAGCCGAGATCATGTCACTGTACTCCAGCCTGGGTGACAGAGCAAGACACTGTCAAAAAAAAAAAAAAAGAAAGAAAGAAAGAGAGAAGGAAAAAAGAAAGAAAGAAAGAAAGAAAGAAAGAAAGAGAAAGAGAGAGAGAGAAAGTAAGAAAGGAAGGAAGGAAGGAAGGAAGGAAGGAAGGAAGGAAGGAAAGAAAAAGAAAAAAGAAGACCTCTTAAAATTCTTCATCTCTCTAGCTGGGATTGCATTTCTAATGTTCAATATGGGGTTTAGGACTGTGGAATGAGAGCCTGCTCTAAGAATCAGGAATTGCGTACGACCTAAAGAAACAGTCACAAAATCCTAAACAGCAAAACAAGCAAATGTAGCAGGGGAACTTAAAGGACGTTTCAGGCCTTCAGGGTGGGTGGCAGACTGCCACAGGATTTCCCCTATTGCCACTTTTTGGAAAAAGCATACCGGGTAGAAAAAAATTGGTCTCATCCAAGTTAACATGTCTGATTCTAAAAATGGAGTATAATTGAATCAAGGAAGCAAGTCTAGTACATGGGTGGAAGGCATTGAACTAGGTCTCTGGAGATTTATCTTCTACTGTGATTTTTTCACTGATTCAGTGGGTTGCCTTGAACAGATTATTCCGTGTCACAGTTTGCTCATTTGTGTAGAAAAAAATAGTGTTTCAACAGATGTCCTTGAAGGTCCCTTTCAGCTTCAACATCATCTGATTCACTCTCTTAAAAATCTAAACCTGATGACTAAATTCAGTAATCATGATCTAAGAAATTATTTTTTAAAAGGTAAAAAGAAAGCAAATGTGTGCAGCTTTTGAGAGCTAATCAATATCCAACTTCAATAAATAATGAGTTATTTGTTCTGACTGAGAGAAGCTGAGTTGGAATGAGGAGGCTGGATGGTTTAGAATCACAAATCTTGGTTTCTGAGCTATTTCACCACTAACTGGCTGCACAGCTATGGGTCATAGTAGCTGGCTGTGCCTCTTTGCATTGAAAGTGCTGTGTGAGAGAGAAAGAACTAGGTAAAGGAATGGGATAGGAAATGAAGGCAGGAGGAGGAAAAATCATGGCACACTGGTCTGGGTAGATTCTGAATCCTTCTGTAAAAACCTGAGGCCTTGCGAGTTCGGTAGTTCAGATTACTTAACTGCAGGATAGGGGTGATGAGAATATCTACTTCACAGGGCTTCCTGACAGAAGACTCTGTAAGTCAGTATACTCATTTATTCGACAAATATTTATTTGGTGTTGATGACAAACCAGATCCTTCCATAGGCCCTGGCGAGCATAAGAGTGAACAAAGACCAACAGAAAGCCCTACCCTCAAAGAGCTTGCATCCCAATTAGTATAAAAGGATCACAAGTACATAAGTACCGGGACAAGTGCCTGGCACATAGGAATTGCTCAATAAGTGTTAGCATCATTGTTTTTATTTTTAAGTGAAGGAAGAAATATGTAACCTTTTTAAAATGTAGTCATCAGAAACTTCTTTGCAAAGAATTCAACTTTTCTATATCAAAAAGTCGTTCACTTTCTTCTCCATTGTTCTTTATTTCCTATTTTCTTTGGTTTGGTCTCATTAAATATATCCAACTCTTGGGTTGTTTGTCAACTGACAGTAGGGTGATATATTTACCAATCAATTAAAAATATAAAGAAAAAGGATACAAATGGAAATTAGGTTGAAGAAAATGCAGCCCCGTTGCCTCCTCTTTTCCACACAAGGTAGGGTGGCCCATTGATCTCTGCCTGTGATTATCTTTCAATCTAATTCTGTGGCCTACACCAAATATGCATAGCTGGGCTTTCCCTTTTGCTTTTCAAGAGATCACTTGGGAAGCCAATAGAAAACACTGGCTCTTTTTTATCTCTTTAGAATTGCTGCCATAGCAATCCTAACTCTACTTCAGGCAGTGTGGGTTCCTCTGGTTTAATGGAGGAAAGGAAAAATATAACAGCAAACTATAGACCAAAATTAACCTTTTAAGACTTTTCTTGCTACACTTCAGTTATCATATCTGTAATTTATTTTAAAGCTCTCCAGTATATATAACATGGTTTATAATATGTGTGTGTAAATTAATTTTACTAGATCCTAGGTGTCAGATACTATTTTAAGTTTCTTATTTAATGACACTACTCCAAGGATGGCTGGGAAGCTTTGGAAGAGGTTAATCAGGACTCTACCCTCCAGAGGTGGTTTTGACAAACACTTGACATAACATTAGCTAAATCTTCTCCAGAAGGTTTGCTCATTAGCAAAATGAATAGGAAGAACTTTTATTAATTGAATGAGTAGAATTTAAAATGTGATATTGATGCTTTAGAGGAGGATCAAAAAAATGTGTAATTGATTAGAGAAAAAAATATGCAGGCTCTTCTGCCCTTGTAGGAACAAGGACAGGCCATCAGTGTAGCATCTTTGGATTGACTCCAAGTCCATTTGATCCTCTGTAACACTTACCAGAAAATTATTGCTATGATCTAAATGTTTATGTCACCCTAAAATTCATATATTGAAATTCTAACCCCCAAGGGAATGGTATTAGGAAATAGGGCCTTTGGGGAGGTGATTAGGTCATAATGGTTGAGCCCTCATGAATGGGATTAGTGCCCTTACAAAAGAGGCCCCAGAGAGGTAGCTCACCCTTTCTACCATGTGAGGACACAGCAAGAAAGCACCATCTGTGAACCAAGAAGCAATCCCTCATCAGACACTGAATCTGCTGGCAGTCCTTGATCATGGACTTCGTCATATCCAGAACCATGGGAAATAAATTTCTGTTGTTTATAAACTACCCAGTCCAAGGCATTTTGTTATAACAGCCCAAATGGACTAAGACGATTTCTGGCCTGATTCTAGTAGATTAACTGATCCTGTCTTCTGAGTAAACCTAATAACTGGCTCTTTTCAGAGTGCCTAAAAGGTAACAGTAAGAACATGCCTGATCTTACAAGAAGTGGTTAGTAAATATTATTGTATCTAATAATAAATAAAGGTATGTACTTGTGGCAGACTTTGGTGTAAAACTTACTTTCATTATAATACACACCTTACCAGGGCGGAGAGGTTGTTGGGAAGGAACATATAGTTTCCCTACCTCAATGACATCTGAATGGCATTTATGCAAGCACCCTGAAAATGGTAAAAGGCCATTTATAACATGGTGCTCACAATGGGCAATAACAAAGCATGACCCAAGATGATCTCATTAAATTTACTATAATTTAACAGTCTACCTGCACAAATAACGAAATGCTGGGAGTTGCAAATGCAGAATAATTAATTTAAAAATAAATGTATTACCATATAATTTTATTATTTATTGTTTAACTTTATTCTTAACATAGGAGGTTTAATTCAGTCTAGGAAACTTTTATTAAGAATTTATTTTGTGATAAATAATTGATTAAAAGCTGGTCATACTAAAATGAAGACTTCTTGCCCTTGAAAAGTTTGGAGTTGTGAGTGACATAGGTAGATATATTGATATTCCTACAAAGGTAGAGTTATGCACAGAGTGGGTAGGTAGAGTCAGCCAGTAGTGTGGGCCTTGTTTGGGCTTCTTAAGATGACTATTGAGCCAAATCTTAAAGCATGAATAAAAATAACTGATTAGAATAATGGCTTAGATATATTGACCACTTATATATCTATCAAACATATTTAATGGGGACACAGGCTGAGACCAGAGGCTCAGATCTGGTGAAAGCGGCATGCTGTAGTCCAGATGAATTTGATAATGATTTTAACTAAGACACAGCTTGGGAGGAAGTGGTGGGGATGGGTTAAAATACATTTAGAGAGTAAAATGTATAGGTTTTGATGGTAGAGTGATTGAGGGTGACAAGAAAAAGGGAGAACTTGGGTGGCTCCCTGATTTCCTACTAGGATGGCTGTGTGTATAAGACTTAAGTTGAACAAGGATATCCTGAAGAAAAGAATCAAGAGGCAGATCGTTTTGGTCTCTTACTATCTTTCTGAGCTTTATTTAGTTGGGCAACTATCTGTACCAGATAAGAATTTGGACCGGTGCCACGGCTTACTGACTCACTTTCTGGCAATAGACATTTCTATCATCACTTTAGAGAAGAAAATGTCACAATTTGATATTTAGCGCACAGTCCCAGGTTTCAGTCAGAACTCTTACCTTGACTTTGCATAATAACCTCTGGCCTCCTCCAGCTCACACCGGCTCCAGCCTGGAGCCCTGCTGCTATGGTGAGGACCGTGGCCACCTTCTCCTGCCTAGGTGCTCTGCTTGCCTCCCACTCATAGCTGTCTGTGCTGGTCAGCAAGGCCAAAATGGGTGGGGGGGAGAGGGGACAGAAAGCCAAGAGGCCCCAGTTCTTATTTGCTTTTGAGGTTTTATTCTGGACCTAGCTTATATTTAAAGTTGACTAATTCTCTTTTGCGACATGCCTAAGTCTGTTTGGGCTACTGTTTGGGCTACTGTAATCAACTATCATAGGCTGGGTGCCTTATAAACAACAGAAATTCATTTCTTACAGTTGTGGTGCCTCAGAAGTCCAAGATCAAGGTACCAGCAGATTCGGTTCTAGGGAATGGCCTCTTCTTAGTTCACAGACAGCTGTCTTTTTGCTATGTTCTTACATGGCAGAAAGGGTGACAGAGGTCTCTGAGGTCTTCTCTCTTATAAGGACACTAATCCTATTCATGAGGTGTCCACCCTTATGACCTAATTCCCTCCCAAGAGCCTCACTTCCTAACACCATCACATTGGGGGTTAGGATTTCAACATATGGATTTAGGGGAACACAAACATTTAGTTTATAGAAGGACCCTTTTGGGGAGTCTTGGGATATCCCCAACTGGACCTCCTTTCTGTAGTTTCTTTTGAAACAAAACAAAAACAAAATACCGCTCTCTATTCAAAGTGGTTACTGGCTGCTCCTTCAACCAAGGCTGGGTGCGTTATTTCTCCAGCTTCTTCCTGCATGGTCAGGCAGGCCCTCAGCAATTCTACTTTGGCTCTCTTGCTGTTGTGCCGAATCCCTATTGACCTCAGTAAGGAAATTGCCAGGTTTAAGAGGCTGAAGAAGAGACTCAAAACCAGCAAAAGAGACACACAGGATTTTATTAGAGACTTACATAGAGGAGAGAGTCCAGTGGCAGTGGACTGGGCAGGAAAACCACCTTACATACAGAAATGGTACAATGGTAGGGGGCTGGACAACATATCTGCCTTGCATATGGCCCAGTGGCAGCTGGTTGGGCAGAAGAACAACAACTACTTGCAAACAGCATGCCGTTTATCTAGCATTTTCACTTAACATCCTCCCCTTAACGACCTGCACCTGGCAACCTGCATTCAACCCAAAACTCAGGGCTTCGATCTCCCGTATGGCTGATATGGTTTGACTCTGTGTCCCAACCCAGATCTCATCTTGAGTTGTAAACCCTACATGTCAAAGGAGGGACCTGTAATCCCCACATACGGAGGGAGGGAAGTGATTGGATTATAGGGGCGGTTTCTCCCATGCTGTTCTTGTGATAATGAGTGAGTTCTCAGGAGATCTGATGGTTTTATAAATGGTACTTTTTCCTGCACCCTCACTCACTTCTCTCCTGCTGCCATGTGAAGAAGATGCCTGCTTGACATTCCGCCATGATTGAAAGTTTCTTGCGCCACCAGCCATGTGGAACTGTGAGTCAATTAAACCTCTTTCCTTCTTGGGTAGTATCTTTATATTAATAGCAGTGTGAAAACTGACTAATATAATGACCCTTCCACCGGACGAGCCGGGTCTCAGATTTTCCTCATAGACAACCTATCTCTGGGTTGGCAAACCCCAGACGCTTTTGGTTGGAACACACATTCAGGCATGTCTGGCATACAAGCTCATCCTAAGAGTATGCTTACGTTATTGCTGTTAGGTGTGTTTACCTTATACTTGCATAGCCCAGATGTGGTCTATGGAAAATATTATTATATCCATATGTCTCACAGACATTGGTCAGCAGGCGCATCCCACTTTTGCCAGCAAAGCAATGATCTCTTTGTTAGGCTGGCTCTCCCAATAGGGAGTCAGGCTTGAGTCCACAGGCAGCATTACCTTAGTCAGTTGTGAGTCTGGCACCAGACCTTTTGGTCTCCCACCTTGAGTAAACACATTAAAAAGTTCTTGGCATTGTCCCTGGAAGCTCCCCTACGAGGCTTCAGATGAGAAGGCAGCACCCACCCCATCCTTTTAGCATCCCTTTACCAATCTCATGAAGAACTTCAATTTGGATGCTCTATAGGAGGAGCACACTGGAGATATTAACTATAACAGAGATTCCTAAGGGAGGTGCCAATTGTGGAAGGAAATAAAAGAGAGCCCATGCATGAACCCAGCTCAGACAATCAGTGGTTACCCCCCGCTTTATGTACCAGCAGCTGGTGGAATCCCAGAGCCCCTTGTCACAGTACATACCAGCTTTTCACTTCAAAGCTCTTTGTCTCAGTGACCCATCAGACCTCTCACCCTCACCCATACACATGATCTGGAGTGGGAAAAAATAATAAGGAAAATGTCTTCAGGACTCTTCTGGCTTTGCCACAAGTCAATTCCTCAGAGATTCTGAATCTCACTGGATGACTGCCCCCTCTGTGGTTGAGTCAGCCTTTATTTCCGAAGTTCCCCAGTTTTGCCCCAGCTTCTGGTTGCTCTGATATCTTCAATAAGCGCTGTTGGTTTTCATTTTCGCCCATGGCTTTTCCCACTCTCCCTTTGTTTGTGGGGTTGAGATAGTGACTCTGCTTTCCCTAAGAATCATTTCCCAAGGCTTAATATTGCCCTTTGGTCTCACAGTCTATGTCTATACCTGGATTATCAATCAGCAATGTGTCACCAACCAACCTCTGTTGTATCCTGGGCTTTCAGTCCAGGTCATCCAGGTAAAATTCAAACGGCTGCTGCCCAAATCCTGGTTATGCATGTTATTGCCCTTACTCAAAAGGGAGAATTGGATGTGATAAGGCCAACCTAAAGGATTAGCCACAGTGTCTTGCATTGGAAATAAGAGAAAAATCTGCATGAGCACTTGCTCTGTTGATTTCTGTGTTCCAAAGAGTATAGGCGAACCCCAGCAGAATAAGAACACTATAGAGCTTAAGGACTGAGTGTTCATTTTAATAACCAATAATTGACTCAACTGGGAAGAGTTTCAGAGAAAGTAAAACTCCAAGCTCATTGGATATATTCATTTGCAAACTGTGACAGTGCATGTTAAAGATTATATTATTATTTTCACTGATTACTCCAAACTTCAAAGTTGTGCATGTGTAGAAAGTGCCAGAATGCTCTCCAGGTTGTGCAAGACAACATCATCTTATCAGCTCTCAATAAGGTAAAACATACACTTAAACGCTGAACACTCAAGGAATTAAGAATACAACTGCCTTCAATATTAAATCTCCATTGTAATGGAAAGAGACTTAAAGTCTCCTTGACAGAGTTGACAAATATACTTTGCAAAACTTACTTTCAGTACTCACCTCAACTCTTAATTCTTACTGAGATTCTCTTTACGCTGAGGCACTACCTTAGGCAAGTCCTCATATGTGTTTTATTTGATGCTCGTAATTGTCCTGGGATGTAAGAAATCTCCCATTTATCAGTAGAAGTAAGTGAGTTGGAAAGGGCTACAGTGACATCACAGAATTAGTAAGCAAAGGAGCTAGAATTCAAATTCAGATCTTACTGCTTGCACACGAAGTGTCAGTTTGGTTTTGCACATGGAGACATTTTAATGAAGGAATGATAATGAATTCTCAGTTGAACTTGAAAATCTGAAGTGCTAAAGTTACCAGAATTACAGAAACATTATGTGCAATATCTGCAGGAAGCAACTGCAAAAATGTGTTTTTAGAGGTCTACAATTCCATATTTTTATGACAAATATGGCTGTTTTAAAACTTGCCTATTTCTTTTTGGTTTGCCTAATTTCCCAGACTATTTGAGGCAATAGTTTGAGTGTTGTTTTTTAGCCCCTAATGAAACAACTTGTAGTAGTTTTGAAATTAATTAGCAGCATAATGTGATAGATGGGGAAATCTTAGTGGAGGCTGTGATAGGATTATTGAAAAGCAAAATATTCAGTCTCTGGTTTACAGTAACTGCTCTTTTGGAGAAGAAGAGTCTCATCTCATGAAACCTCAGGTGAGTCAGATATTAAGCCAATATCTGCCAAATGCCTACTTGAACAGGTATTTCTTTTTTTTAAATTTTATTTTATTTTTTTGAGACGGAGTTTCGCTCTTGTTGCCCAGGCTCGAGTGCAATGGCATGATTTCGGCTCACTGCAACCTCTGTCCTCTGGGTTCAAGCGATTCTCCTGCCTCAGCTTCCTGAGTAGCTGGGACTACAGGCACTGGCCAGCCACCACACCCAGCTAATTTTTTGTATATTTAGTAGAGATGGGGTTTCATGATGTTGACCAGGCCGGTACCAAACTCCTGACCTCAGGTGATCCACTCACCTTGGCCTCCCAAAGTGCTGGGATTACAGATGTGAGCCACCGTGCCCAGCCTGAAGAGAATTTCTTGAAGTCAGGAGCCATATGCTTTAGTCATTCTCAATACTCAACTTACACTGTGCCCCATACAGAGAGGTGCTCAGTAAAATTAATAACATTTAAATGATGTGGTTTAATGTAAACATGTAGGCCTTTTCATCAGAAATTTTTCTATTACTAAAACTACTTTTATTATCCTCTACATTTCTTTTTCTCTTTGTTTTCTATTTTGTGTGGTGCTTGCAGGTTAATAAATCTTGGATCAGTTAGTTGGCCATCTTGATTTAAAAATGTTTTAAAAGAAAAGTTAAAAAGCAACACAAAACATATTGAAAATCATTTCCATACCAATTTCTTCCCTCTGTTAGTTCAGTTGTAAGAAATGGAGAGCAAAAGCATTACAACCAAGGCTTTTAGCGGGAACATAATTGCTTACACATCCAAATACATCAGCCAACTTTGCAACACGCGATTAGGCAGCCAATTGTGTTGAAAATGTGCTTGCTCATTCAGAGGAGACCACGCCCCAGGGCTCACCTACTAGCTCCTCTCCAGTCCTGAAGTTCAGTTAGCGCAGCCCGTTCCCATTAGCCACTTGTTGAAAACATAAGAGGGCCACCAGGTGGTAAGAATCTTTTGGGTGCAAATCAAAGAGCCAACATCTCTAACAAATCCCACATTCAACCAGGAATGTCTCTCTTTCTAGCCTACCCTCTTCTGTCTAGTAGTTTCTTCCTATAAAGTGATGCTGATAAAGAATAGCCATGTGCCAGAAACTTTGCACACTCATTATCTTTAAAAACATATGAGAGGGATGCATCAAAGCCTAATTTTAGTCGACATGAACTGTCACACAATTTAAAAGAAAAGCAGGGTCCTGTTGTATGTAAGACCTCAGGTATATTTGCCCATTTTCACCTCTCTACTCAAAGTTAATTTAGTTTTTAATTCTCGGGTGAATGTGTTGGTGATTTGGAAAAACACTTTCCATGTCCTGGAATTCTTTTCTAATTCTAGCACTGGTTTTTGAATGACCTTGAATGCAGTGAAGCATATCAAAGTAAAGCAGGACCATCCTTTCTTTTTTTTTTTCTTTTTTTTCCCCTGGCATTCAGAGAGAAATATCTTTCAACGGCTGGCCTTTAGGTATTCAGAAAACACGACATGACAGGTGACTGCCCATCTCTTTGCCGTTTTTTTGGTTAAATTGCTTTAGCTACATGGCCGATCACTTAACAAGTCTTTCATTAAGATCAACCCAGTAGTGTTGGGATTGACAATGTGCTGGGAACGAGTTCTCCTAATAATTGCTAAATGTTGTTCTCATCCCAAACAGGGTACCACATAAAATGCAGGAGATGAACCAGCGTGCTAGCTAGCTAGCCAGGCAGAAACAATAGCATGTCTTCAACTTAAGCAAGGAATTCCATTTTCTTTTTCCCAAGTGATTGTTGATTTCCTGGTGATCATGACTCAAGACAAAGCTTAATGCAAAAACTTCACATTTCCATGTCAAGCTGATTGTTGGGGTCTGTATTAGTTTCCTATTTCTGCTCTAATAAATTACCTCCAACCTAATGGCTTAAAACAACACAAATTTATCATCTGACACTTGTTCATCGCATGTCTCAGTGGACTAAAGTCAAGGTGTCACAGGGCTGCATATCTTTCTGGAGGCTCTAAGGGAGATTCTGTTTCTTTGCCCATTCCAGCTTCCAGAGGCTTCCTATAGTTCTTGGCTTGTGGTCCTTTCCCTGCATCTTCATAGCCAGCAACAGCAGTCTGAGTTCTTCTCACAACACACTACTCTCACCTCTCCTCCCTCCTCTACTTTGAAGGACCCTTGTGATTATATTGCACCCACAAGAATAATCCATAATATTCTTCCTTCATTTAGGTTGAGCTGAGTAGCAAACTTCATTCCATCTGCATCATTAATTTCCTTTGCCATGTAACCTAACGTATTCACAGGTTCCTGGGATTAGAATGTGGATGACTTTGGGGGAAGGGCATTATTTTACCACAGACTCATTTTTACTTTGACTGATATTTTTTTTCAACAATCATTTCCAAAAGCTACCTGGGGAGAGTAAACAGGAAAACATATCTTCCAGCCACGTCTATTCTTTGATCTTTGCCCTTACCAACAGCTTTAAATGAATGCTTGTAACAGGCAGATTTTAAGATTCAACGATCTTTGGTTCCATATTGTCTGTATTCTAACTTCAGTGAGCCCCTTCCCTCCCCACCTGCCTTTGTGTGGGCAGTGCGGTTCTGCTCTCAGTAACGAGCCCCTCTGTCACAGAGCAGACCTTTTGAAGAGTACCTACTTTTCATCATACCAAAGTATGAGCTCACACACGTTCACACTTGCCTTTGTTCCCTCCAGGCTTCCATACCTCATGAGTTGCCTCTTTGCTTTCAGGGGGAATCAACGTAGCAGACCTCAACAGCATTCTGTTTCAGGGGTTGAGGGAGAGGCAGCAGAAAGGGGATTTAGGTTATATGCAATGACCACCTCTTTCCTGGGTTTGCCCTCACAGCAGCTGGAGGGCTTGGAGGTGCCAAGCTCTCTGATTTAGAACTACACAGGTCTGAAGGCTGAGCATTTTCTATGAAGGGCCTTCATCTTTGGAATTCCCTCTCCAAGCCTATTGACCTAGATGGCCTGAAGTAAATTCTATCTCACTAGTAAAGTGGATTTCAGAGTTAATATGGCCAAGCTGATTTGGATTATTTATTTTCAATGTCAGCCACAGCTATGGAACTCTCAGATGTGTGCAGGAATTGAGTGCATCTTTAGAAATCTCAGGAACAAATAGCTCTGCCTGAGACAGGAGAGGGTTTGGCTATAATCTTCTTTTTGTATTGCCTGTTTCTTGCTCTAATCCTGAATACTGAGCCTGCACTTTGTGGCTATTTATTCTATGTTGTTGTTGGGTTTTTTTTTGTTTTTTGTTTTTTTTTTTTTTTTTGGTACGCTAACCTACCTGATCCGCTGCTGTGTTTAATTACTTATTATGTCTCTCTAGCTATCTTGATAGCAAATGACCGACAGAAATAAATGTAAATAAAGTGCATGGCATTCCTGCATATTGAGTCAGCTGCACTAGCCTGGGTGGGTGGAGGGGGGAAATGGAGTAAGGTGAACATGAAGGAAGTTATTAGCTCTCCAGCAGGGGCGAAGAGAAAAGCCAGTTCTGTCAAAAGTGAATGTTGAAACAAAAGAAAATAACCCTGTCCCAAATGCTCTGGGCTGAATCAGCCTTCCTGGGGTCTTATTCTGGTTCAGAGATAGCTCTGTCCTTGAAGTACTCTCTGTTGAGTGACACTAGTCCATGGTATCAAGTAGTGTTTAAAATACCTAGATTAAAAGCCTTCTGCATTTAATGTCTCAGCTCCAACAGGTATATAAACCAAAATGAACTTGCAAATTTCATTGAAGCTTTATCCTCTAGCCCAGGTTAGTCCCTAATGTCACAATTTCCACATTCCTGACAAAGAATCTTTTACTCTAACCAAGTTCCCGTTCACAGTTGGCATCTGCCCCATCCAGCGGGGGAAGGTGACTTTAGTGGTGTCCTCGCTCTTGCAGAGGTACAGGTTAACATCCTCCTTGGGCAATGAGGGGACTAATATTCTGTTCTTTGTTCAAAGCTCTGAAGGATCAATGTATGAGATGTGCGATTCGAATTGATGCTATTCCTGTCCTGAAAGCATTAACTCCACTTCCCTTCCCAGTGGAAGAGGTGAGAGGATGTGACTTTTGGCTCAGCATTGCCCAAGTAAATAATTTTAATCAAATTTCAGCCATAAATGCATTGATGTTTCTATTAAGATGAATAGATAACAGAGCTTCTTAGAGATTTGTGCTAATTCAAAGTGGGCCGTGGATTTCAAAGACATTCAGTAGCGCTGCTGTTTTTTATAGAGCCAATGAATGTTTGACTAAAGGTAGCTAATGTGTCCCTAAGCCCAGCAACAATCTGACAGGAAGCTCACTCCTGGTCAAACTACTCTTGGAAATGTCCCAGCAAATGTTGCATCCCTTGCAGAATTTCTGCATTTAAAGGATGGAAGATTAATACACCCTGTGATCCCTACCTACAATGTAGCTTTGGTAAAATTGCCCCTTAGGATTTTGACACAAGAAATAGAAGCATTAGTGTGAGTGTACAGCTATGCATCTCTCTATTGAGCCTCTCCATTAGACAATGGGGGGCCTAAGAGCATAGTGCCGGGTGATATGATCAGCGATGGCTGAAATCAGAAGCAAGTTCAAGTTTGACTGATCAAACTGAATTAGTTGGCTCAAGATCCAGCAGCTAGTGGAAAGTTCTCCTCTTGGTGAATGATTCTTTTCTTCAGACAGAAAAAGAATGATGCTGTCAGCAGCTATTCTCAAAGCTATCTGGGCCTCAACATTGAGCCTCATGGAGTAGTCAGTTCACTGTACCTCTATAAAGCATTTTAACTCATCCAGAGTCCCGATGCACTGAACAGTCTATGACTGATGGGTTTTGTAGGACAGCCTGACCCACTAGCCCCAGTGCCATCTGCCCAGGACAGCCTGACCCTCTCCCATGACTATGCTTATTCTGGTCCCTTCAGGTTTATTTTCTGTTCTTCAAATGGCCCAATCACATCTGCGGCTCACCAAGCCCAACAAGGCTGAACTGACCTTCTGTAGATTAGATGCTAAAAATTCTTTTTTTTTTTTTCAGACGGATTCTTGCTCTGTCACCCAGGCTGGAGTGCGACGGCATGATCTCAGCTCACTGCAACCTCTGCCTCCTGGGTTCAAGCCATTCTCCTAGCTTAGCTGCCCCAGTAGCTGGGATTACAGGGGCGCACCACCATGCCCAGCTAATTTTTGTATTTTTAGTAGAGATGGGGTTTCACCATGTTGGCCAGAAAAATTCTTATATGTTAAGTATCAAAGACTTAATGAAGCAGCTTGGTATAACTGTTAGCTTTGTCCCTGCAACTAAAAAAACAATCCCCAGCATTCATCTGCGTATCTTGCTTTCAACATCCATTGCTCCTATATAATTCACTTCTATAGTAATTGCATCTCATGTAAAGAGAGTTGTTTCTATGTTCAAATCATGTTATATGGCCATGAAAAATCCAGAGCTTTGGTTTAAAACATGTTCCATTAACCCTGCTGAGTCTGTATTTTCTGCTTTGTCAGGTTCTGCCATACCTTCACATGATCATTTCTGTTAAAAGAAATTATGATCTTTAACTTTTGTATGTATCTGGATTCCCCTTTCATTTGAATCATGTCGTGATTCAAAAATCTTCTCTTTTTTTTTAAGCTTCCTTTGCTTTAACAAGGTTTCAACAACTGGGTGGTAATTCCTACTGTGGTCTCATTAGTATCTGTTTCAGAACTGGAATAATTTTCTCTAATTTTTAATCTCTATGTGTAGTTTTGCATTCTGGTATATTTTATTGCATTCTTTTATTGTAATTAGACATCGGGCTAAAGGCTAGACATTTTCTCCTCCATAATTTTTGGGCCCTTGAATCTTTGTCAAGTTATCATTGAGAATGCAGTCACAGGAAGACACTTTTGTCCTTATCCTTCCATCTTGAAATTCTATTTATAAGTCACTTGTCTCTCCATGCAGTTCTGCTGACCAAGTTATATTTGATTTAATTGCCCTTCTTACATTGAAATTAGCTGCAACTCTCCCACATTCTCACTCACCTTTCAACTCCTCAAGGCTCTATTCTTGTAGTATGATTATGTAGTTGTTCAAATGAAATGAATAAGAAATAAATCAGGTCATTTAGGTTGCATCTACACAAATAAACACTGAGGTGGGGATTAAACCACAGGAGCAGGTTTTGAGTCATGGATTTCAATTTGAAAATGGATACCATCTCTTTCCTCAGGGATCCCAATGGGAGAGGCAAAAATCACATAATTTCTACACTTGATCTCAGCCAAAAGGATGAGAAGCAATTAAAATTGCATAATTTCGGAGTGTTTTTCATGGCATCAGATTCAGACCTACCTGCCCTGTTTTGGCATCCTTGATCTTTTCAGTGTTTTTAGGTGATGACTCTTTAGGTAGTGGGGTGAAATCTTCAGATTGAAGAGTACTCCTAAACTTGGAATGCTTAGAACTGACCTACAAGTCATCTCCATCATCACAAATGTACTGTTGTCAGCAGTGGACTGATTTTTAATTTTTTTTTTTGTTAATACATAATTACTTTGTTATCTGCCAGCCTACCCTCAGAGGAGAAATCTTGCCTCAACTTAAAGAAACCATTTAGCTAACATAACTCTGATATTAACAGAGTCCCCAAATTAGGAAAGGAGAGTCCTGGGGAGGAGTTTCTCTGGCCATCTGGGTGTGCTTCTTCTTGGCACCCAGGTTCAGAGTCTCTGATGCCAGCTGTGTCCATGTCCCATTGGATTCCCTGGAACCAAGGGGTCTGCCCAAAGGAGGGGACTAAACCATATGTTTAACCCTCCTCTGTCCCCCAAACACCTTGAATTACACTAAAGAAGTTCTGAGAATAATAAATTTATAAACACACTAAAGTGGAGTGTTGAGCCCAACTGGGAAGTGGAATGGAAACAGCAGCTAACCCAAAATGTGTTTCTGAAAAGGGTCATAATGATGGATAAACCAGAATGGAGAGAGCCATAGAGAGACAAGGGCAGAAGAAGCAAAAGCCATTTTTTATAGCAGAGTTTCCTAAAGTTGTCAGATAAGAAGGACAGGATGGGGAAAAGGGGAAGAAACCAAGAGAATGGACTCAAGACTGAATTACAGAATGTCTACGAAGGCACTCAATGCCCACACTCATCTCTAAGCCTCCTTCTACCACAGCACTGTTGGCCTCCAGGATGCAGGTAGAAAGACACCCTCCACTATACTGATCTCATAACTTTAAAAAAACTTCAGCCTTGCTCCCAGATATATCTTTATTTTTCCAAATTAATATTTGTATGCTATACTAATGCATTATCTATATTATAAAGCATAAAATAGAAATTCAAGATGAGAAAAATTCCAAATAGAAAGTCTAATACAGGCCTCTCTCAATTAGCATTAGAATCCGTTTCTGAAAAATTACATGTTCCACATGAAAATACTAATCATGAGCATATTCTCCTTATTTAACTGAGAATAATTATAACGTGTCAACTCAAAATTCCTAACCAGTTTCCTAAAAGTAACTATAACACAGTAAACCAACTTTAGATAAGTAATAAACTCTTATGTTAAGATGTAAAATGCTAAAAATATCCCTTTTTGATCTTGAAAAAATGTGATCACTAACCAATAGTTGTTTTGAGCATAGTAACCTGTACTCTGAGCTCCAGCAACATGATGTGTGTGTGTGTGTGTGTGTGTGTGTGTGTGCCTGTGTATCTCCTTAGATCTTTACCTATCCTCATGGAATAATAATCTTCCTTGGAATGTAGAAATATGTAACCAGTCAAATAATTGTAACATATACACTGGTCTCCTATGGAAAATGTTGCAATCCTGCTAAAATTTCTTAGTCTCTGCCTATATAAGTGGAACCTTCACTTCTCCACTTAAGAACGCTGACCACATAGGTTTAGTGTCAGTGTCTCCCACGTGGCTATCCTTAAGCTTTGTGGGGAAATAAACTCTATACTTCTTCATATTTTTCTGAACCTTGTTATTTAAGGTTGACATTAGTCACGGGCAGGAAGGAGGAGACCCTTGCACCCTCAGGCAGCATCTGCCATTTCTCACCCCAGAACTGGCAGTCACTTCTCTCTTTTGTGGAAGAGCATGAGTCAGATACAGAAGCCCTGTGACGTACTAGATTGGTCACTCACTCCCTCATTCAAGTGCATAAAGGCAAAATCATGCCTTAGCATTTATTGGTAGCATAAAAGAGAAAGATAGAGATGAACAAGCAGAAATGAATAGACACTGAAAAACATAACTTAGGGAAATGTAGTGCTTTTTTAAAAAAATAATTACTGTTGTGGTAGAGATTAAAAATATATATAGCGGCCGGGTGCGGTGGCTCATGCCTGTAATCCCAGCACTTTGGGAGGCCGAGGTGGGCGGATCATGAGGTCAGGAGATAGAGACCATCCTGGCCAACACAGTGAAACCCCGTCTCTACTAAAAATACAAAAAATTAGCAGGGCGTGGTGGCAGGTGCCTGTAGTCCCAGCTACTTGGGAGGCTGAGGCAGAAGAATGGTGTGAACCCTGCAGACGGAGCTTGCAGTGAGCCTAGATCACGCCACTGCACTCCAGCCTGGGCGACAAAGCGAGACTCCATCTCAAAAAAAAAAATATATATATATATATATAAATATGATATATATTATATTTTGTATATAGCATCCATATACAAAGAACAGACTGGTAAGAAAAAGGATCAATCAGAGAATAAGAAAGAGTTGATGAGCATTTAAAACACAATTGCAAAAGCAAATCAGCCAAAAGGTGAAACCAAAAAGTTGAGCAAGTCACACAGAGCAGCACAAGATAGTGAGACAGAGAAAGAGATGTAAAATATAAAAGAAGATTCAAGGGCATAGAAGGCAATCCAAGAAATAATAGATAAAATATTTTATGTTTGTGTATAATTACTTTTATATTAAAATAATATAATACAAAACCACTCACCAGATCAAAGAATAGTTTAGAACTGTGTTTTTGTTTGTTTGGATGGTTTGGGTTTTTTTTTAAACAAGGAATAAAAGAAAGTTTTCCTTTGCTTTGAATTGTAAATCTCCCAGGATAGAAGCCTGAGGATCTCTCTGATTTATATTAAAATGTCAAAAGAGGAATCAGGAAAGAAAACAGCATTCTACTTTTTCCATTGATTCTGTGCCTGCTCTTAACCTTCAAATTAGTAAGAAATATTTCAACTGATTTCTCGGAAAGTCATTCCCTCTGTAATAGGAGGAAGGAAGAGAGCTGTTGAGGACAAACCCAGCAACCTGTGCAGGAATTTCATTTGCTGTTAAGAAACAAGGATTTATCGGTGTAGGTCAAAGCCTGAGGCATTTCATGGTAGATATATTTAATCAGAAATGTTCTCACTAATGTTCCAGGTGCCCATTTAACTCTATGCATGGTCACCTTACCATCTCAGTCTCAAACCACTATTATCCAGAAAGGATGATTTAGGTACCTGTATGGGAAAAAAAAATTCTGAGGGTCTGAAAGGAGTATTTTACAAAATACCATGGGTCATGGAGTTAGTGCCAGGAGCAGGGTGAGATGGAAAAATTCAGGAAGTCAAGCTGGAGAGAGAGCTGGGGAAGTCAACTCTTTCAGAGTTAGGCCCAAGTGGGCTATGCTTTTCCTTGGTCTCATTCAGGAAAAGACAAATGTCGCTGGAGGTCATATCATTTCTGGGACAGGCCTAGATGTGTAAATTGGCCTGAGACCCTTCAGAGTTGTTTGTGTGGTCACTGTAAACCATGGGGAGCGCCCATGGTTAAATATCATGGCATTTGTTAAATATTAGATTTCAGAAGTTGTGCCACACAGGAGGTCTTTAGTTCTCCAGTTCTCACAATCCCCCAGGAAGCAAAGTATATAATGTTCATTAACACAACTCCTTCACATTTGTCTTTTGATAAAATTTGAATAAACAGTTGTTAAGAAAGTCTCTTATCACCTATGGATCAATTGTTGTATGATTTGTATTGACGCCCTAGGCTTTAGTGTATAAATACAAATTACAATAAATTAATAAGTAGCATCACTTTTCCACATAAGGGTGTCCTAGATTATGTTGCCTCAGATTACTAGTATTTTATGCTTTGCCTTACATTAATAATTATTATGAGTTTTTAACCACCATAAATGTATCTGGCTGGGTATTACAATGATAATATTTATTATTTTAAATGAAAAAATCATAGTTGAAATAGCTTTTGGTTTTAAGCCAACAAACCTAAAACATTATTCTAACCCTGTAGTATAATTACATGATTATTAATCAATATGATACTATACAGAAAATAATGGCAATGTTAGAACACGTCCTGAGTATGTAAAGATGAAAAACATGCAGAATAGTATGAGATAGGCTGAGTTGAGAAAAAAAAATTGTTATTCTAAACACTGTTTAATTAAAAGAAATTTATAGCAGATTAGCTTTGCCATTACTTTCAGTAATTTTCAAAAACACAACAAAACTACATTATTGCTTGGTGGTTTCTATTATCTTACCTTCATATGTATTAATTTGTTAATTACACTTTACATAAATCAGTGGAAAACAGCTTAATTTATCTAACGATGACAGAATTTCTAAGCCTAATAAGAATCACTCTAGGTTTATTTAATTCTCTGTGGTCTGAAAAGTAATGTCACCAATAGACTAATACAGGGAATATATTCTTTATTTAACTACACAGTGTCCAAGAAAGAAATTTTCTTTCTCTAGAAAGACGTTTTCTGATACATAACCTCTAATTCTTAGTCACTGCAAAGAATGACATTTATATGGGAGAAAAATATCTAAAGTGGATATTTTTCTTGTATCTAAATTAAGATGTGCCAATGTCATATTTAAACTTGCTTAATAATTATCAAGTGCATATTTTTATCACAAGAAAATTTTATATCATCTAAAAAATATATTTATATTGCATCTACATGAACAAATGATTTCTGGGGATAATTTTCACCTGAGGTGAAAGTCTAGATTCATTCTGAAGCCTGTGGGTGTTGTCGTGAGTCAAATAGTGTTACCCCAAAATACGTGTCCACCCACAACCTCAGAATGTGACCTTACCAGGAAATACAGTCTTTGCCGATATAATTAGATAAGTTACCATGAAGTCATGCTAGTTTGGTTGAGCCCTAAATCCAATGACTGGAGTCCTAATATTGAAAAATAAATGAAGATTGAGTGTTTATCTTTTCTACTAAAATGTAAGCTTCCCAATAACAGATAAGAAGCCTGAGTCATCTCTGATCTGTTGTGGATATTTGGTTTGGGTTGGTTATTCTTCTTGATCTCTGTTTTTTATTTTGTTTTGTTTTTCACTACATAACACCCATTTCCTCTTTTTCCAATTAAGCATTCCTCTTTCTTTTTGAGGAATTACCAATATCCCAAAAGGTAAAGTCTTGGAGGGAACATCACTAAAGTTTTCTTATCTCTACTCTCCAAGGAGTGGGCATGAGATCTAAGTGAAGCTAGTTGGATTTAAAAGGATTCGGGACACTGTACCCCAAAATAAGGTACCTTGGGATTTGAGAAAACAACTGAAACAGGAAGGTTCTCTCACATTCCCTTCCCTTTTCTTCACTGAAGCAGGTCGTAAAACCTAGGAAAGTCCAGCTCTTCTCCCTTGAAGCAGGTCATAAAACCCTAATTCAAAAGGTGTCTTTCCTTTATGTACCTGGAGGAAAGGAACATATTTACCTTTGAATATACAAGGACACAGCGAAGAGTCTGAACAAACGGGCCTTGCTAAGTTTTTCCCAGTTATTACCATTAGATCATACCTGCTTTGTCAATTCATACTTCTCCATGACTATCCACTTCTTCATCAAACCTATCATTAAAGGCCGGGTGCGGTGGCTCATGCCTGTAATCCCAGCACTTTGGGAGGCTGAGGCAGGTGGATCACTTGAGGTCAGGAGCTTGAGACTAGCCTGATCGACATGGTGAAACCCCATCTCTACTAAAAATACAAAAATTAACTGGGCATGGTGGCATGCGCCTGTAATCCTAGCTACTTGGGAGGCTGAGGCAGGAGAATTGCTTGAACCCAGGAGGCAGAGGTTGCAGTGAGCAAAGATCGTGCCACTTCATTTGAGACTCTGTCTCAAAAAAAAAAAAAAAAGCCTATTGTTAAAAATATACAGGTTTACTTGTTTCTTTCTTTCTTTACTTCTCTCTTTTTAGAGATAGGGTCTCACTCTGTTGCCCAGGCTAGAGTGCAGTGGTGTAATCATAGCTCACTGCAGCCTTGAACTACTGGGCTCAAGCGATCCTCCGCCTCAGCTTCCTGAGTAGCTAGAACTACAGGCATGCACCACCATGCCTGGCTGATTTTTAAATTTTTGTGTCACTATATTGCCCAGGCTGGTCTTGAACTCCAGGCCTCAAGCAATCCCTCACCTCAGCCTCCCAACACCTGTTTCTTTGGGACTTAATTGCCAAAGTTTCCTGTGTCGCATAAAACTTATATTAAATAAATGTGTATGCTTTTCTCTTCTTTTTTTTCATGAGTCTCAGCCATGAACCTAAGACAGGAAGGAAAGATTTTTCTTTTCCTCTACAGATTCTGTATCTCAAAACTGAACCTTCAGCAGAATGACTTAAGTACAGGAAAAAGAGGTTAGAGGCAATTCATATAAATATTGGTGCCCTGAGTTTTTACTGTCTGAATGTTCAGAGATTTCCTAATTTCTTCCCTTTCCAAATCTCCTTTTTTAACTGACATTTCATTATTGTGTAAGCTACCTCAGAGACTTCACATAAATTCATTCTTGCACCCAAATAATAGCTGACATCTCCAAAAAAATCTAGCAAAAAATTTGCTCTGTGTAGAGTAGTTGCTCAATGGCGGTCGGTATTCAACGAATCTGCTCTGATTAGTTTGAACATAAAGGAGTGTGGAGAACTCACAGAATCTTTGGGAGGGTTGGAGAAACATGCCAAAATTCTTGCATCAGGTGATGCAGAGCTGGCCTCGTAAGGAAGCTGCCACCACTGTGGTCAAATGGTAAATATCAGAAACTTATCTTCATTGCAGTTTCTACTCTCTCAGCCCCAGTGCAACTTCTGGTTGATTGCTTCAACCTGGCCACTCCTAGACAGCCTCTGCTGCTACTGCTCTCCAAGTCTTGCCCACCACGAATAGCAAAATAGAAGCTCCAGGTCTCCGGCAGCACCCACTTTACCTGTTTGTGTTCTCACAGCAAATGAAGCTGGGAATTTTGAAGATTAATCTCATACTGAAAAGGGGCAGAAGTTTCTCATATCATGGAAATTACCCTAACATCTAGGAAAGCTACTTTAAAAATGATGTGCTAAAAGGGGGGTCACCTTGCATATAACTGATGTTCACCACAGTAAATTTTAATAAGTGGATTAATAAAGAAAAATAAAAAACAATGAGTGTGGTAAAGAGAGTAATGCCCCTACTTATTTATCCCACCTGGTATCCACTTTCCTTTCCGTGTAACTTCCTAGCTTCTCTCACTACAAGGCAGATCATATGTTCATCTCATAGATTTGGGATGTAGCTGTGTGCTATCGTTTGAACGATGAGTACCCCCTCACACCCACAAAAATTTTCATATGAAACTTAATCCCCAATGCAACAGTATTCAGAGGTGTGTCCTCTGGGAGATGATCAAGTCATGAGGGATCCTCTCTCACAAATGGGATTAGCACTTTTATAAAAGTTCCTGAGGTTGAAGGAAATTCCCCCCTACTCTTCTGTCCCTTCTGTCATGTGAGGGCACAGCTCTCCTTTTCTCTGGAGGATACAGCAACAAGGTGCTATCTTGGAAGTAGAGACAGGGCCCTCACCAGACACCAAACCTTCTGGTGCCTTGATCTTGGACTTACCAGTCTCCAGAACTGTGAAAAATAAATTTTTGTTGTTTATAAATTACCTGATCTGTGGTATTTTGTTACAGTAGCACAAACAAACTAAGGCCCCATGTGACTTGCTTTGTCAAGAAGTGTTAGTAGATGTGACCCAGGCAGAGGCATGAGAAGCACAGGTGTGACTGGGCATGAGCTCTGGCACCTTTGCCATCACCATGAGAGCAGACAAGAGCAATCCAAGAGGAGGAGGAGGAGGGATGCACAGGCAGTCCAGTCAAGACTGCAATGCCGTCCAGGTGAGCTTGCCCGGATCAGTCATCTTTCAGCTGACCCCTGTGCACACTGAATAAATATTTGTGACTGTATGACACTGAGGGAGATTGGTGTTTTTACTGTTTAAAAATTATTACACAGCAATAGCTAAGAGACACAGGGAAGAAAAAGATAAAAATTCTCACTCAGTACCCTCAAAATTTGCTACCAAGGCAGACTGAAAGAGTGAAGTACAGGGTAAGCAACGGCTCGTATGTTGCCTGGAAGGCAACGTCCAGGGGCTCCTTTTTAAATTGAGAGCCAATTCTTGATGCCATTCATGCTTCACAGATGATGCACCTCTCTTTAAAAAAAAAATAGATGAAAACATTCTGTAGGGAGATATTCAAAACGTGACTTATTATATTCTACTTCCTCTTTTTAATTATTTTTTGGCTTGGCCACCATCCTATGTTTAATCATACCACAAAACAGAGAGACTCATGGATATATGATTAAAAACCAGGAAAAGAATAATTCAATTCTACCTTATTGTTCAATAAAACATGGTGACTTAATTCTAGTATTTTTAAACTAATGTTATGACTCACTGAGCTGTGACAGATTATGTCATCTGACAATGTACAAGGACATTGTTTCTCCAACATAATTTTATCAAGTGGTATTAGACTAGGGTCTAATTAGGAAGATTTTGAAGTTTTAAATCTAGTCATTAGCACCAGTCTCCATTTTGTTTGTAGGAGATCCTTTTCTTCTGCCCACTGGACCATGTCCAAGTATAAAAGATGACTAGCCATGGCCTTTAGGCTATATTCCTTCTCCATCATCTTTTAACTTCACTTGGAATTAGAAAATAACCATTTACAGGTCTCAAAGTCACTTGTGACTGCTCATCAATGTTAAAAGGCTGATCACTGATTGTGACACAGCCTTTACAGAAAGAAAATCTTTCTATCCCCTCTTTGATCTTTTGAGATTTAATTAAGTTCAGGTACAAAGTGTGGTAGTGTCTGTAGAAGCCTTCTTAATTACTTATCAATCAATATTTCTACAAGAGCCTTATCAGACTTTATAGAAGATATAGAAAATGAATAGTTAGATCAGAACATAAGGAGAATTAAATTGCCAATGAAGCAAGAACATTTGATATGTCAAAGGTCAATTTATGACTAGGAGGCAACTTGAAAGCACAGATCACTAGTCCTGAGGGTTCAGAGAAGGGAGGAAGCATGGAGAATTTGGGTGACCTGAGACTTCCTGGAAGGGTAGAACTAGCACTGGACCTTGAAGGTTGGGTGGGATTTAAGAAGGTAAGGAGTGGGCAAAATACAAGGTAGTGGAGAAACGATTATGCTTACTTCACAAAAAAACTGATGACAACTTGAAAAGCTTTAAGAAACTTATTTGGATTAAGACCAGTTGCATTGGTAATTCAATACAATCTATACTTAACAGAATTTCAAATGTTTATTATTCCAGTCTTTTAATACTATCCTTATTGGTTTGCTAGGGTTTCCAAAACAAAATATTACCACAGATTAGATGGCTTAAACAATAAACATTTATTTTCTGACAGTTCTGTAGGCTGGAATTCCAAGTTTAAAGTGCTGGCAAGGTAGATTTCCTCTGAAGCCCTTCTCCATTGCTTGCAAATGAATCTCCCCTTGTTACCTCTTCACATGGTTGTGCCTCTGTGCATGAGTGCCCCTGGTATCTTCCATGTGTCCAAGTTTCCTCTTCTATTTTAAAAAATTATACATAATATTTATGTATTTATGGGGGTACATGTGATATTTCATTGCATGCATAGAAAGTGTGATGATCAAGTCAAGATATTTGGGGTATCCATCACCTTGAATATTTGTCATTTCTATGTGTTGGGAATATTTCAAGTTCTCTCTTCTAGCTACTTTGAAATACACAGTATGTTATTGCTAATTATAATCACCCTAGTCAGCTATCAAATATCAGAATCTATACCTTCTATCTACTGTATGTTTGTGCCCATTGACTGCACTCTCTTCACCCCCTACTCCCCTGATACCTTCCCAGCCGATTGTATCAGTCATTCTACTCTCCCCCTCCATGAGATCAACATTTTTTTAGCTCCCCTTTATGAGTGAGAACATGTAAAATTTGTCTTTCTGTGTCTGCCTTATTTCATTTAATATAATTACTTCTAGTTCCATCATGTTTATGCCAATGACAGGATTTATTTATTTTTGGCTAATTATTATTTTGTAGTGTGTATATACCACATTTTCTTTATCCATTTGTCTGTTGATAGACACTTAGGTTGATTCCATATCTTTGCTATTGTGAAAGAGGGCTGCAATAAACATGTGAATGCAGATATCCCTTTGACGTACTGATTGCTTATTCCTTAGGATAAATATCAAGTAGTAGGATTGCTGGATTGTATAGCACTTGTATTTTTAATTTTGAGAAATTTCCATACTGTTTTCTATAGTGACTGTACTAATTTACATTCCCACCAGCGATGTATAAGTGTTCCCTTTTCTATGCATTCTTGCCAGCATGTTATTTTTTGCCTTTTTAATAATAGCCATTCTAACTAGGGTAAGATGATAGCTCATTGGGGGTTTTGATTTGCATTTCCCTGATGATTAGTGATGTTGAGCATTTTTTTCATGTACCTGTTGTCCATTTATATGTCTTCTTTTGAGAACCGTCTATTCATGTCCTTTGCCCACCTTTTTTTTTCTTTTGAGATAAGATCTCACTCTGTCACTGGAGCTGGAGTGCAGTGGTACAATCGTAGCTCACTGTACCCTTGAACTTAAGCTAATACTCCTGCCTCAGTCTCTCAAAGTACTGGGATGACAGGCGTGAGCCACCGTGCGCCATCTTTTGACAGTTTTTAAAGGGATTCTTATTATTTTTAATTGAGTTGTTTGAATTCCTTATATATTTTGGATATTAGTCCTTTGTCAAATGCATAGTTTGCAAATATTTTCTCCCATTCAACAGCTTCTCTCTTCACTCTGTTGCTTTCTTTGCTGTATAAAAGCCTTTTAGTTTAATATAGTCCTATTTGTCTACTTTTGCTTTTGTTGCCTGTGCTTTTGCATTCTCTTAGCCACAGCATCTTTGCCTAGGCCACCATCCTGAAATGTTTCCGTCTAGTTTTTTTTTGTTGTTGTTTTTTTGTTTTTTTGAGACAGAGTCTCGCTCTATCACTCAGGCTGGAGTGCAGTAGCGCAATCTTGGCTCACTGCCTCCCTGTTCAAGCGATTCTCCTGCCTCAGCCTCCCGAGTAGCTGGGACTACAGGCGTGTGCCACCATGCCCGGCTAATTTTTTGTATTTTTAGAAGAGATGGGGTTTCACCGTGTTAGCTGGGATGGTTTCAATCTCCTGACCATGTGATCCGCCTGCCTCGGTGTCCCAAAGTGCTGGGATTATAGGCGTGAACCAACACGCCCGGCCCTTCTAGTAGTTTTATAGTTTCCTGTCTTGTGTTTAATTCTTTAATCCATCTTGAGTTGATTTTGGTATATGGTGAGAGATAGGGTGTCTGGTTTTATTATTCTGCATATGGTGATCCAATCTTCCCAGCACCATTTAGCGAAGACAGTGTCTTTCCCCCAGTGTATGTTCTTGTTGGCTTTGTCTAAGATCAGTTGACTGTATATGCGTGGCTTTATTTCTGGGTTCTCTATACTGTTCCATTGGTCTATATGTCTATCTTTATACAAATACTATGCTGTTTTGGCTACTATAGTCTAATATGAAGTCAGATAGTGTGATGCCTCCAGGTTTGTTCTTTTGATTAGAATTGTTTTGTCTATTTGGGCTCTTTTTGGTTCCATATGAATTTTAGGATTTCTTTTCTGATTCTGTGAAAATGATGTTGGTATTTTGATAAGAATTGCATTGAATCTGTAGATTGCTTTGGGCAGTTTGGTTATTTTAATGACATTAATTTTTCTGATCTATGAGTATGAAATGTCTTTCCATTTATTTGTGTCCTCTTCAATTTCTTTCATGAGCGTTTTGTAGTTTTCCTTGTAGAGATTTTTCACCTCCTCTGTTAAATTTATTATTAAGCAATTTTTTTGTAGCTATTGCAAATGGGATTGCCTTCTTGATTTCTTTCTCAGATAGTTCATTCTTGCTGTATAGAAATGCTACTGATTTTTATATGTTTAATTTGTTTCCTGACACTTAACTGAATTTTTTAAAATCAAATCAAAGAGAGTTGTGGTGGAGTCTTTAGGTTTTCCTAGATATAAGATGATATCATCAGCAAAGAGGAACAATTTGATTTCCTCTTTTCCAATTTGGATGCCTTTTATTTCTTATCTTGCTTGATCGCTCTGGCTGAGACTTCTAGTACTATGTTGAATAGGAGTGGTAAAAGTGGGCTTCTTTGTCTGTTCCAGTTCTTAGAGGAAAGGCTTCCAGCTTTCCCCTACTGAGTGTAATGTTAGGTGTAGATTTTTCATATGTGACTTTTTTTGTTTTGTTTTTTTTTTTTTTTTGGTGGAGGGAAGGGGTTTTGCCACTATATTTATTTATTTATATATTTTTAAAATTTATTTTATTATATTTTTTGAGACAGGGTCTCACTCTCTCAGTCAGGCTGGAGTGCAATGGCACAATCTTGGCTCACTGAAACCTCTGCCTCCTGGGCTCAAATGATGCTCCCATCTCAGCCTCTTGAGTAGCTGGGACTCGAGGCACACACCACCATGACAGGCTATTTTTTTTTTTTTTTTTTGCATTTTTGGTAGAGACAGTGTTTCACCATGTTGTCCAGGCTGGTCTTGAACTCCTGAGCTCAAGCAATCTGCCCACCTTTGCCTCCCAAAGTGCTGGGTTTACAAGCATGAGCCACCACACTCAGCCATTTATTTTTATTTAAAAAAAAAAAACACCTTTTATTTTAAGTTCAGGTTTGTTATATAGGTAAACTTGTGTTACAAGGGTGTGGTGTACAGATTATTTCATCACCCAGGTACTAAGCCTAGTACCCAATAGTTATTTTTTTCTGCTCCTCTTCCTTCTCCCAGACACCACCCTCTGGTAGGCCCCAGTGTCTGTTCATTCTTTGTGTCCCTGTGTTCTCATCATTTAGCTCCCATCATAAGTGAGAACATGTGGTGTTTGGTTTTCTGTTCCTGCATTAGTTTGCTAAGGATAATGGCCTCTAGCTCCCATCCATGTTCCTGCAAAGAACATGATTTCGTTCTTTTTTAATGGTTGCATAGTATTCCATGGTATATATGTACCCCATTTTCTTTTCTTTTTTTTTTTTTTCCTTTTCTTAGAAGGAGTCTTGTTCTGTCACCCAGGCTGGATGCAGTGGTGCAGTCTCAGCTCACTGCAACCTCTGCCTCCCAGGTTCAAGCGATTCTACTGCCTCAGCCTCCCAAGTAGCTGGGACTGCAGGTGTCCGCCACCATGCCTGGCTAATTTTTGTATTTTTAGTAGAGACAGGGTTTCTCTATATTGGCAGGCTTATCTCGAACTGCTGACCCCGTAAGCCACCTACCTTGGCCTCCCAAAATGTTGGGATTACAGGCGTGAGCCACCGCATGCAGCCCATTTTCTTTATAAAGTCTTCCTCTGATGGTCATTTAGTTTGATCCCATGTCTTTGCTATTGTGAGTAGTGCTGCAATGATCATACACATGCATGTATCTCTATAATAGGACAATTTATATTCCTTTGGGTATACCCAGTAATGGGATTGCTGGATTGAATGGTAGTTAGGATTTTAGCTCTTTGAGGCATTGACACACTGCTTTCCACAATCATTGAACTAATTTACACTCCCACCAACAATGTGTAAACATTCCTTTTTCTCTGCAACCTCACCACCAACTGGTTTTTTTTTTTTTTTGACTTTTTTATCATAGCCATTCTGACTGGTATGCTCTTTAGTTTTATTCAATTTTGCTCTGAGAAGATATTTGATATAATTTTATCTTTAATAATTTTTTGAAATTTGTTTGGTGTATCAACAAATGGTCTGTCCTGGAGAATGTTCCATGTGCTAATGAGAAGAATGAATATTTTGTAGCTATTGGATGAAATGTTCTGTAAATGTCTGTTATGTCATTTGGTCTAATGTGTAATTTAGATCTAATGTTTCTTTGTTAATTTTCTGTCTAGATACTCTGTGTAATGCAGAGTGGGATGTTGAAATCCTCTGCTATTATTGTATTGGAGTGCATTTCTCCCTTTAGATCTCATAATATTTGCTTCATGTATCTGGGTGCTCCAGTTGGGTGCCTATATGTTTAGAATATACTCTTGCTGAATTGATCCCTTTATCACTATATAATGAGCTTCTTTATCTCTTGTTATTTTTTTTGACTTAAAGTCTGTTTTATTTGACATAAGTATAGTTACTCCTGCTCTCTTTTCATTTCCATTTGCATGGAATATTTTTTTTTCATCCCTTTACTATTAGTTTATATATGTCCTTATAAGTAAGATTAGTTCTGGTAGGCTGTATATAGTTGGGTCAGGTTTTTTTTTTTTTTTTTTTTTAACCATTCAGCCAGTCTATGTCTTTTAAGTGGAAAGTTTAATTTGTTTATATTCAAGTTATTATTGAGATGTGAAGGCTTATTCCTGTCATTTTATTAATTGATTTCTACCTGTTTTAATCTTTCTTTCTTTCTCTCTCTCTCTCTTTCCCCACTCCTTCTTCCTTTCTCTCTCTCTCCCTCCCTCCTTCTTCCTTCCTCTTTTTTTTTTGTTAGGCAGGGTCAGCCTGGAGTGCAGTGGTGTGATTTCATCTCACTGTAGTCTCAACCTCCCAGGCCCAAGTAATCTTTCTAACTCAGCCTCTTAAGTAACTGGGACCACAGGCATGTACCACCACCATGCCCAACTAATTTTTGTATTTTTTTGGAAAGATGGAGGTTTGTCACATTGCCAAGGCTGATCTTAAACTCCTGAGCTCAAGTGATCCACCCACCTTAGCCTCTTGAACTGCTGAGATTACAGGCTTAAGCTACCATGCCTGGTCTCTTCCTTTCTTTCTTTCTTTTTATCATCGTGGTTTGGTGATTTTATGCAGTAGTAACATTTGCATCTTTTCTCTTCCTTGTTTATGTGTTTGCTCAACCAGGGGGTTTTTTTTTTTAATATTTATGTGTTTTCATGATGTTAAATATGTTCTTTCAGTTCTTTCATTTTCAGGTGTAGGACTCCCTTAAGCATTTCTTGTAGGGCTGCTCTAGTGGTGATAAATCCTCTCAGCTTTCATTTATCTGGGAAAGCATTTATGTCATTTTCATTTATCAAGGTTAGTGTGGCTAGGTATAGTATTCTTGGCTGACAGGCTTTATTTTTATTTTCTTTTAGCACTTTGAATATATTATCCCATTCTCTCCTGGCCTCTAAGGTTCCTGCTGAGAAACTCACTATTAATATGTTGGGGCAGATACTTTTCTCTTGCTATTTTTAGAATTCTCTCTGGTTTTGACTTTTGACAGTTTGATTATAATGTGCCCTGGAGAAGATCTTTTTTTTTTTTTTTTTACTGTATGTATTTAGGGATATCTGAGCCTCCTATATCTGGATGTCTAAATCTCTTCTTAGACGTGGGAAGTGTGCATCTGTTATTTTGTCAAATAGGTTTTCCAACACTATTGTTGTCTCTTTGCCTCTGGGACGCGAAAAATTTTATACTTTTATGGTGTCCCATACATTATGTAGACTTTGCTCATTCTTTTTATTTTTGTCTGACTGGGTTAATGCA
The DNA here is from genome assembly GCF_000001405.40 of Homo sapiens. Taxonomy (NCBI): domain Eukaryota; kingdom Metazoa; phylum Chordata; class Mammalia; order Primates; family Hominidae; genus Homo; species Homo sapiens. The sequence continues at coordinate 114,729,887 of NC_000007.14, forward strand.
AAAGACCTGTTTTCAAGTTCTTAGATTCATTTTTCTGCTTGATCTAGTCTATTGTTGAAGTTTTGAATGTATTTTTGTATTTCATTCAATGAACTCTTCAGTTCCAGAATTTCTTTTTAGCTCATTTTTATGATATCTATCTCTTTCATAAATTTCTAATTCATATCCTCAATTTTCCCCTGACTTCCTTGTGTTGTTTTTTAGTATTCTCTTGTATCTCATTGACCTTTTTTAATATCAATATTTTGAATTCCTCTTCTGGTATTTCATAAATGTTTTTTGGATTGCGATCTATTAATGGGGAATTATTGTGTTCCTTTGGAGGTGTCATATCTCCTTGGTTCTTCCTTTGTCCTTATAATAATATCTGCATATCTAGTGTAAAAGTTTTTTTTCTTTTTTGAATTTATGCTTCATAGGGGAGTGATATGGTTTGGCTGTGTCACACCCAAATCTCATCTTGAATTTCCATGTGTTTTGGGAGGGACCTGGTGGGAGGTAATTGAATCATGGGGGCAAGTCTTCCCTGTGCTGTTCTTGTGATAGTGAATAAGTCTTATGAGATCTGGTGGTTTTAAAAAGAGGAGTTCCCCTGAACAAGCTCTCTCCCTTTGCCCACTGTCATCCATGTAAGACGTGACTTGTTCTTTCTTGCCTTCTGCCATGATTGTGAGGCTTCCCCAGCCATATGGAACTGTAAGTCCAATAGCTCTTTTTTTTGTAAATTGCCCAGTCTTGGATATGTCTTCATCAGCAGTGTGAAAATGGACTAATAAACTCTACTAGTAAATTGGTACAAGTAGAGTGGTTCGCTGCTGAAAGGACACCTGAAAACATGGAAGCAACTCTGGAACTGGGTAACAAGCAGACTTTCGAACAGTTTGGAGGGCTCAGAAGAAGTCAGGAAAATGTGGGAAAGTTTGGAACTTCCTAGAGACTTGTTAAAAGGCTTTGACAAAAACACTGATAGTGACATGAACAATAAGGTGCAGGCTGAGGTGGTCTCAGATGGAAATGAGGAACTTGTTGGGAACTGGAGCAAAGGTGACTCTTGTTATGTTTTAGTAAAGAGGCTGGTGGCATTGTGCCCCTGTCCTAGAGACTTGTGGAACTTTGAACTTGAGAGAGACGATTTAGGGGATCTGTTAGAAGAAATTTCTAAGCAGCAAAGCATTCAAGGGGCTACTTGGGTGCTGTTAAAAGCATTCAGTTTTATAAGGATAGCAGAGCACACAAGTTCAGAAAATTTGCAGCCTGACAATGCAGTAGAAAAGAAAATCCCATTTTCTGAGGAGAAGTTCAAGCTGGCTACAGAAATTTACGTAAGAAACAGGAGCCAAATGTTAATCCCAAAGACAATGGGGAAAATGTCTCCAGGGCATGTCAGAGGTCTTCATGGCAGCTCCTCCCATCACAGGCCCAGAGACCTAGGAGGAAAAAGTTATTTCATGGGCTGGGTCCAGGGTCCCTGTGACTTGGTGCCTTGCATCCCAGCCACTCCAGCCATGGCTGAAAGGGGCCAAAGTAGAGCTTGGGCCATGGATTCAGAGGGTGCAAGCATCAAGCCTTGGCAGCTTCCACATGGTGTTGAGTCTGTGAGTGTACAGGAGTCAAGAATTGAGGTTTGCAAACCTCAGTGTAGATTTCAGAAGATGCGTGAAAATGCCTAGATATTCAGGCAGAAGTTTGCTGCAGGGGCAGAGCTCTCATGGAGAAATTCTGCTAGGGCAGTGCAGAAGGGAAATGTAGGGTCAGAGCTCCCACACAGAGTCCCTACTGGGGCACTGCCTAGTGGAACTGTGAGAGGAGGGTCATCATTTTCCAGACCCCAGAATGGTAGATCCACTGACAGATTTCACCGTGCACCTGGAAAAGACACAGGCACTCAATGCCAGCCTGTGAAGCAGCTGAGAGGGAGGCTCTATCCTGCAAAGCCACAGGAGTGGAGCTGCCCAAGTCCATGGAAACCTACCTCTTGCATCATTATGACCTGGATGTGAGACATGGAGTCAAAGGAGATCATTTTGTAGCTTTAAGATTTGACTTCCCCTCTAGATTTCAGACTTGCATGGGGCCTGTATTCCTGTTGTTTGGCCAATTTCTCCCATTTGGAATGGCTGTATTTACCCAATGCCTGTACCCCCACTGCATCTAGGAAGTAACTAACAGGCTCATAGGTGGATGGGGCTTGCCTTGTCTCAGATGAGACTTTGGACTCTGGACTTTTGAGTTAATGCTGAAATGAGTTAAGACTTTGGGGGACTGTTGGGAAGGCATGATTGGTTTTGGAATGTAAGGATGTGAGATTTGGGAGGGCCAGGGTTGGAATGATATAGTTTGGCTTTGTTCCCACCCAAATTTCATCTTAATTTTCCATGTGTTGTGGGAGGGACCTGGTGGGAGGTAATTGAATCATGGGGGCAAATCTTTCCCATGCTGTTCTTGTGATAGTGAAAAAATCTCACGAGATCTGATGGTTTTAAAAAGAGGAGTTCCCCTGCACAAGCTCTCTCTCCTTGCCTGGTGCCATCCATGTAAGATGTGACTTGCTCTTCCTTGCCTTCTGCCATGATTGTGAGGCTTCCCCAGCCATGTGAAACTGTGAATCCAAGTAAACTTCCTTTTTTTTTTTTTGTAAATTGCCCAGTCTTGGGTATATCTTTATCAGCAGTGTGAAAGCAGACTAATAGAGGGAGGATATTTCCTGTGGATGTATCTATGGTGTTGGTTGGGTAGAGCACTTTGGCTTTGATTCTGCATAGGTTTAGTAGTAGTAGCACAGTCTCTGTATGATTTCTTTGGTTGCAAATAGCATCAGTGGTGTCTGTGATTTCCTTGGTAGTTTAGGGTGTGGTTGTTAGTGGAGGCTGTAGTGAAGTTTTACTGGGGACTATGATATCAGGTGGACCAGTATTTGGGCCCCTGTGGTGGCAGCAGTGTGCTGATCATGCCCATTCTTGGGCCCCAGGATGGCATACATTGGCAACGGTGTTAGTAGGACCAGGCAGGCCAATTCTTGGGTCTCCATGTGGCTTGCTCAGGTGTTGGGAATGGTAGCAGTGGGGCTATGTGGAAGAGCAGATTCTTTAGACCCTAAGTAGTGGGCATGGCATGAGCAATGTCAGTAGTAGTGGTGGGGCAACCCTCTAGAATCCACATAGTCCATGCTGGTATAGGCAGTGGCTGCAATGGGCTGGATGGGCCAGTCCTCAAGCCTGCAGGTAGTAGGTGTGGGTGAGTGCCAGCTCTGGTGTTGGTGGCAGGTTGTGTGAGCCTGACTCCAGACCCTGGAAGGTGTGGTCAGGTGCCAACAATGGTGGACTGGGCTGGGCGAGGAAGGCAGAGCCGGGCTTAGTGTACCTGTCTTCAGGCCCCCCTGTTAGTGCATGCAGGCACTGGTGATAGTAGGCAGGGGCAGGGTGATCATAGGCTGCTGGTGGAATGCTCAGGTGGGGGCAGTAGCAGGTGTGTGTGGCCCGCCGACTGAAAAATGTGGGGGTTGCTTTCAGTAGCTGTAGCTAGGTGGCTGGGGGCATATGCTTTGCTGAGGCCTCACAGCAAATCACAGCTGTAGAGGCTGTGGGAGGTGGAATTTGTCCTTAGGATGCATAAAAATGTGCAGCTTCTCCTCTACAATGGGGAGGGAGGAGGAGAAGGGTCACTGTGGCTTCTGCCTTGGCACTGGCAGCTGCAACTGTGAGAGGGGAACGTCAATGAGCCTCTAGGGATGTGAAGATGCAGTGGGGAGCTGTTGCGCCCTGGGGCAGGACATAGTCTGGTCCGGATTGGGTTTTCAAAATGGTGCTCTACTGTAGCTGCTTAGGTCTTGGGGGTTTGTGGGACTCAGCGAGATGTCTCTCTCTGGAGCAATGCCATTGTACGACCTCCAGGCAGCTCTCTTTGTTAGTCTTAGAGCCCTTGAGGGTTAATGGGGCTGTCCCATGGCTAGGACTGTGGGAGTCCAGGGTGGGAATGTGAACCACTGGGAGTCTCTCACTCTTTCCCTGCATTAGGGAGCCTCTCTGGGCTCCTAGTTAATGCTGGCTCAGCAGGCTGCTTCACTTCCCTCTCCTTCCTTGCTTTTGGTGCTTCCTGTCACTTCTCTGTTGAATTCCAGCATTTGTCTTAGATGATCTAATCAAAGTTTGATTGTCTACTCACTATTCTGGTTCCTCTTCATGGAAAAGGCAAGTACCAGATGAATCTAGACAGCTATCTTAAAGCCCCTCTCCCAAATTTTCTCTTATAAGATTACCAGTCAGATTGAATTAGGCCTACCCTCATGGCCTTATTTTAACTTAATAAGCTCTTTAAAGGCTCTATCTCCAAACACCATCACATTCTGTGATACTAGGAATTAGAGCTTTAGTATATGAATTTTGAGTGGACACAATTCAGCCAATAAAACTATCTTAACATTGATTTCTAATCAGATATTCATACTTGGGGGGAAAGATAAACATTTTCTTGCATGAATTCACACCACCAACAAGGACTCTCCTACCCCCACCCCATCATCCTCATCTCTCCAGGACCACCTGCTTCTAAAGCTCACTGAAACCTGTCTCTTCTTCTTCCTACTGCCCACTTCAGTCCCAGTCACCATAGATTGTTCACCACTAATTTCTTTATCAGAAAGCTATTCTGATAAAGTGGCCTGATGATCACTCCTAAGCCCTCCAGTAGTTACTAGGCCATGACTATATACTGGCATCTCCCATTGTTCTATTAAACTTGCTGATACCTGGTTTGTCTGCCCATAGACATTTTGTTTCAATTTATGTGAGGAAAAAGTTTTAAAGTCATCCAGGTAATTCTAATTTATAGCAAAGTTTGTGAACCACTGACCTAGGAGGAAGGGAAAGCTACTTTGTTCTCTAGGGACAGTGACTTGCAGTGTAAAGATGATGAGTTTACAATCTAATAGTTCTGGTCTTGATGAGGATACTTCATAGTCGTAAGGAATTGTTCTATTCAAATAAATGATGTTGAACCAAAGGAGATGGCTATCCAGAACACCTGGCATTCCAAAGGCACCAAATACATGCTGTTACCCCAGGGGAAATGGCCAGCCATGCTTTGCCTCATTCCATAAAAATGCAATGAGATAAACTTTGAAAATATAAATTTGCTAGTATCTCTCCCTCTGCCACAACCTTCCCTTGTTAGAAGAATCCCATAGCATTTGAGAGAATGAGGATTGTTCGAGCGGGAATACAAAGCATTTAGCGTGCTTTTGATTCCCAAACTATACTTTTGCAAAACCAAAGGGAAGACCTCAAGGGGTGTGGCACTTAAGCTTTCTACCATAAAAGAGGAATACGTCAGATATCATGGAAAAGCTGAGAAAGAATCTGTAGATTTCCTTGCTGTTAGAGTCAAACTACATTAACTGGTCTTTGCAATGCTATTGAGCAAAGCCATCAATGGACCATGGCCATCACTGTCTCTGGCTCATCCAGCTGAGTCTGTCTTTACAGGTGTCTACATGTCCCCCTTAGGCATAAACAGAGTGGTCATTAATGGCCCAGGGCACTTAGATGCCCCACCCAAAACACAGAGGGTGGGGTTCTTTATCCTCATGGGGACAGTGCTGATGTCCTGTGGAAACTGGGGAGGGGATAGTCAGTGAGGAAACCTACCTTTATAAAACAAAATCCAGAGTAAATTTATCCTGAAACAACAGAATAATTTCAGCAAGCACACATCAAATATTTTCACAAGGGTCTTTGAACATTTATGTTAAGTTTAGTGAGATATAGAATGATCCAGGAAAAAAATGGGCTTCCCAATTATATTCTCCAATTAATGCAAACATAGACACATTACTAATTACACTTAGCAAAAGTTACAAGAACTGTTTTCAAGGACACTTTTTCCAAGGACATTCACAGGTTTTAAGGCATTCTGCTACAATGTCTGCAATAAAGGACAAATATTAAGACTGTAAAAAGAAGCAGTCCTTTTTGGTGGGACTATTTCTTTTATCCCAGAGCCGGTTCATGTGCTCCTAATCAAGATTGCTAAAAAGGAAAATGGAAGAATGTATTTTAATATTTGAATTTCACTTCATTTATAAAGCTGTGAAATATCATCAGCTTTCATGTTGCCTTCTTTCCTAATTTCCAAACCAAAGGTGAACTGCCTGTTATTCAAGAAACTAAAGGAGAGCAGCAGTAATAGTAGCAGAAATATTATAGTTAATAAGAACATAGTGATGGGAAGAGAAAAAAATAAAGATCATTATAAAATAGAGGTTCACAAAAGTCAAGCAGTCAAACACATTGTTCTAATCATATTGCTAGCTTTCTATTTCTTATGCCCTGAGTGGCTGGGGCCACATTGCTATTTATCAGGAGAAAACTCTCGCCAGGCTAGTCCTTATCATCATTTCTTCTTAGAAATATCTGACATGTTTCTATTCAAGTAGGAATATACATAAGTGCACAGGTTGGTCATTATGTTGAAACCCTCAATTCAAAATTATAACCACAGATTTAACTTTGAGATTTACTTAATGCTTTTAAATTTTTTGATAGGTTTAACACTTCTGCCTGGTGCACTTCATTCAGAATAAAGCGGTTGCCTTCATCACCATTGCTCTGAAATAATCGCGTTCCTATAAGACCACCTTAGAAATGATATATGCCTCAAACCTGCAGAACCATTATTCATTTCTGCCTTGAATTTATAGAGATATAATGTAGTAGCCACAGATCAAACTCCTCAAAGATCTCCCAATGCTCTAGATCTTTTCTCTCCAATCTTTGTCTTCCTATAACTCAATACCCTCATATTTTGCACTTTGAGGACTGGTTATCATCTGTCTTCCAGTGATAAGACCCTTGACCCCTTGTTCATTTGTTTCTAATACAGTTTTCTTCATTTTTCCAAAATCTACAGGTTTTTCTTTCTGTTATAATTCAAACATCCTTCATGGAAAAGCAGATTTGACAATTCACAGCAAAGTCTTCACCTCACACCTTCTCAGAAGAGACCAGTGCAGAACGCACCACGTTCTCTGAATAATAAATGAGTTTGAATTTTTTTTTGGCTGTGCTCCTAGTTTTTGTTTCATCTCTGAGGAAATTTTGTACATCCACATTAGGATATTCAGTGGAAATGGCTTCAGCTTCCTCTGGCTGCTATAGATTGTGATTATCACTACATTAACTTTGAAACCTACCTAGATATCAGGAAAGAGCTTGCATCTGAAGACAGCACCTGTTGGGTATCAGGTACTTATTAATCAATACCTTCTATTTTGGAGAGAATTTTGACATGTCTGCATAAGCTGCCAGGTGCTTTTTCTCATGAATTCATTTATAATGAAAGTGCCATCTGACTACTCAGTAAATGTATCTGGCCAAATAATACTTTTAGTTATGTTAACTAAGTAGTAATTCAGTATTGTTTCAGCACAATAAAATTAAAATTGTGTTTTGTTTTCCTTTCCTATCTTGGTTGCCTTTGACTGAGAAGATACCAAGTCATTTCTTGACACAGGACGTTACAGCAATGGTAGATCATTTCCTTCAATCCCGCTTTTAGTTTTGCTCTATTCTGAAAAATCCTACCATAATTCTAGGGCACTGTAAACTGTCACCTCCCATGAGTTGCCATCCCCGGCTGAGCCCCTGAGTAATAGGCCCTTGGTATTTTTCTGTTCATCTATATTACTTTATCTCTGCATTTCCCATATTATGTTATAATTTTTCACTGTTGTCATTTTGTTCTCCAGATTATGAGATTAGGACAGGCAACTCATTGGTAGCAAATAAAACCCCAAATCTCAGTGGCTTAACAGCGAAAGCTTCTTTTGCCTCATAGTTTGATGCAGGTATAGAGAGCCTGCCCCTTCTTGTAGCTATACTCTCTGAAATATTCACCTCCAAGGTGGAAGTGAGAGCTAGAAGGTCATGAGGGATATTTCTAAGGGGCAGGACTGGAAGCTGCTTTAATTATTCTTCTGCATTCTACTGGCCAAAACTCATTCATGTGGCCACACAAAATGGAGCCTGAGAAAAATTTTCTTCCTGTGAACCCAAGAAGAGGAAATGGCATGGTGAATATGTAACATTTTTTGTGACGAAGGCCCTTTTATGTTTTCATCCTTCTTTCCAGTTCCTGAAATCATACTTGACACATAACAAGTACTCAATACATACCTTGAGGGAATGAATATTCTTTTTTTTTTTTCTTTTGGACGGAGTCTCACTCACTCTGTCACCCAGGCTGGAGTGCAGTGGCGCGATCTCAGCTCACTGCAACCTCCGCCTCCTGGGTTCAAGCGATTCTCCTGCCTCAGCCTCCCAAGTAGCTGGGACTATGGGCGCATGCCACCACAACCGGCTAATTTTTGTATTTTTAGTAGAGACGGGTTTTCACCATATTGGTCAGCCTGGTCTCAAACTCCTGACATCAAGTGATCTGCCCAGCTCAGCCTCCCAAAGTGCTGGGATTACAGGTGTGAGCCACTGTGCTTGGTCAAGGGAAGGAATATTCTAAAAAATGTGTTACTGTGGTGGTGCCATTTGGCAGTGTCTTATTGGTATTGGAAAAATGTGGTTAATTGATTTTTCCTGTTAGTTGATATCTGAGGAGTGAATGCTGCTTCATTTTGATGTCATTTCCTTAGAATATAAATGTAATTTCCATCAATCTAAGAGGAAGTCAGCTGTGGACTTAAAAAAAAAATCAAAGGCAACAAAAATGGGTGGGATACTTGTGTATATGCTATGCCTACTTGGCCTTTTTCCCTGTGCATAAATTTAAGTGAATCTAAATGGATCATATCCCCTTTATTTTTACTAATACTATTAGTTCAGTGTGAAATGTTAATTGCTGTCATTACTGACAAAAATTATTATTGCTGAAATTATAAATTCATATTTTACACTTACTAAATGAGTAGGAAATGTCATTTTACCATGAAAAAAAGCAATAATTACTTTTGAAAATATACCTTTATCTTATAAATCCATATGTATTACACTTTATTTTTCCCTTGTATATCTGAATGTCAATTCTTTATAGAGTTCCAAATATATTTTTAATTTAATTTTTTCTTGGATTTTACAGTTCCTGGATCAAACGTCCTCTGATTACAATATTTTAGTACATATCCTCAAGAAAAGAAATATGATTGACCCAGCCTGAGCCAAAAGTTAATTGATGTGAGGGAAGGGAGGTGAGGAAGGAAGAATTTAGGTAATGCGGAGTGACAGCTACTTTATTTGGAGCTACTTGGTGAGGTCCTCTTTCTACCTATTCTATGCTTCAACTAACTATGGCTTTTGTCTCATTTGTGAGGGTCTTGGAACCTCTGGAGAAGTAGTCCAGATAGAAAAATCAAAGAATTGAGAAAAGCCCTCCAGTGACAGAAAAGGATTCAAATCGTATCCAAAAGGCTACTCTAGGTGACAGTGCCTTTCTAAATTAAGTGCAATTGATTTTCTTATACTTCTTAGTTCATTAAACAATAAACAAATGAAAATTGAAGACAGGTAGGACTTTTTATACTAAAATGTTTGAGAATTTAATGGTCTTAGAAATGACTTTTTGAAGATCATTAGCAAGACAGCTAATGATTCAGGACTTTGCTCTTTTTTTTTCAACTGGTTGTTGTATGGTTCCTATTTTTCCCAGTGTTGATTTCCTTATTCTCCTCTTTTCTTAGTTTTGCATTCAATCCAGTCTTCTCTCCTTCTGCCCAACTTTCTCAAACGGGTCAATGTTCAGAAGCAATCTTGCTAAATCAGATGATGTGTATAGCAATTGTGCTCTGCAAATGTATAGTCCTTTTTTGAAGAGTCTTTTGCATTCCTTCTTCCTAGAATGTTTTTGGGCAAAAATTTTTTACACCTGAAAGGCATGAAGCAAAGGCTCACTTGCTGAATTGGCTTCAGTGGCAAGGCTTCATCTGTGCTCCAATTCACTGGTTTGGAATTTGGCCGAGCTCAGGATCGTCTTGCTGTTTTGAACATATAAAATGCTTAAAATGGTTGTGAATGGAAAGCATATTAAAGAAGCTAGAGCAAGAACAGCCATCATGAGAACCTGCAATACCTCAATGCTCCTCAAAATACTATTTCAGTATTATTGGTAGAAACATTGCTGAATTTCCATTAGTTATAAAACTCGTTGAAGCCAACTCTGCTGAATCTGAGAAAGGACGTTTAAGAGGCACAACTGTCCCAACATAGGTGAAGGTAGGAAAATGAGCGATCTACCTAAAATGTATGCTAGACCATGCTATTCCTTAGCTTAAAACCCTTCAGTGACTGAAGGTCACTTACAGGATAAAGTTTCATTTGCTTATCATGATATGAAGGCCCTCTAGGCCCTGGACCTTACAGCTGCTTCCTGTCTTATCTGCTGCCATTCCTACCATGTCCTTTGTGATATGAAGGTCATGGAGTACTTGCATCTACTATGATCCTGGCCATTTGCCAACCCCACAACACATGCCATTTAGATTCACGACACCAAATCTTTGGTCATAATTTTTCCTGTCTGCAGTGCCCTTTTCAACTTGTGCTGTCACCACCCATCTCAGCCATCCCTAACTCAGTATTTCATCCTCCAGGGTGCCTCATTACTCAAATAGTCATAGTCCACTCCTGATGCTCCCATAGCACCAAGAACATATCTCTATCTTAGCCCTTAAAATATTATAGTGAAATATTGCTATAGGGTGGCCATCTTTCACACTAAACTGTACAGATAAGGAATAAAGACTTGTTGAACCAAACTTAACTAAATAGAAAACCCCAGGATTTTCTGATAAGGATTTTAGAGAGTCAGTTTTATTTCCATTACAGAACCCTAGTGAGATGAGGTATCTTTAACACATTCACTATCTACTTGAAAGAGATCCATTTTCCACATCGTTTTCTTCAGGGGGCCCATTACATTAAACAAGGAAAAGACCTCATTTGCAAAAAATCTAATTTGATGAAGGCAAACTGGCAAGCCCTGTGTTGGTAATGTTTCTTTAAAAAGGTAAATAATACGAGTTTTCTGCTCCAACTTTAGAAATGGAAGCTCACAGTCGGAAAATACTGTTTACCTTTCTCATAATTACCCAGTCAGGACCTGGTTTTCCTAGAACGATACACTGAACAAATTGCACATAATACATACAAACATTCTGAAAATGCTGCATATTTGGAACAGAAACACATTTATGTCTCAGAGTGATGCCAACTAGTTCTATGCTGTTTTTGTTAAGCATAATTGCAGTTCTTCACAAAGAGCCCGGAGAAGGGGAACAAATGCTTGGCATATTTCTTTTGGTTTTTCAGCATGTGCGTAATTTATTTGTTTGCCACTGAGAAGCGCTCTGTTTTTCCTGCTGGGTGCCAAGGCAGTGAGATAGGTACTAAGTTTTTGGTCACGTTTTCTTGTAGTTTTAGATTCCTGGATTTATGAAGTTGGAGTCAGTGCTCGGAGTGCACATTTTATGTTGTTGAGAGCTGGCACTGTTTCATCTTTTTGAGTCCTGTTCAAATGGTGCCCAATTGAGACTTGTCATGAAGAAGTCTTCCTCCTATGGAGGTAGGGGACAGGGTGAATTGCACGCAGGCAGAGCCCGAGTGAGCATTGCTCAGAAGAAAATCTGGTTATGAAGGTGAAGGTAGTACATTCTTTCCCCCAAAATCGAGGGAATTTAAGCTTTGAGAGTTCTCTTGATTTATATATTAAAGCTATATTCTATGAATATGCATGATATTACCTCTTTTGAACTTCCTTGAAACAAATTCTCATAAATAAACAAGGAATGTACTGTACTGACAGAGTCATTTAGACTAGATGCATTGTGCTAATGGAGTGAAAAGAATAAAAATTTTCAAGGGCTTCAACCCTCAATTTTAATAAATTTCATGGAAATCGGATCAAGCCCTAATTGCTAATTCATCTGAAATTATTAAAAAGAGATTTCAATTACATACCACCATTGAATTTTGATGTACCAAATTAAATTAGGACACTAGATTGTTTCTTTTCTTAAATCCAGACCTATTTAAAAACCTTTTCCTGTAAATTCTGAAAAGGAACTTTGTGTTCAGTTATGTTGCTTAAAAAAAAATCCAGCATTAGTACAAAATAGTAGGTTAAATCTCTTAGTGAAGATTTTTAATGACATTTCAGTGTTCCTCTTATAATTACTCTTCATCTAAGATATCCCATAATGATGTTGGACACTCTTGGTTCAGGCTCACTGGCTTGCTTCATTAGCATGTCATTCCCATTCCACATCACAAGATTTAATTGTAATGCCGGATATGCACAGCTCTCCACAGAAGTCTAATCAAAGTGGATTCACTTGTATTATTAATATCAAAAATCAGTCCACTTGCTATTTTTATAAATAAAAGAATCCAGATACATAAATCAGCTGTCATTTATTAGCATGTTACTGGCATATCTGCCAGATATATGAGCAGCCCTATCACAGTTCCTTAGGATTATTTTCATCAAGATTAAAACCCTTCTACATTAAATATACATACTAATTCCTCCATAAAGTAATCAGATTACAGAGCAGGTGACATTGTGTGCTGGAATTCAAATGATTTGCAGTAATGAGCTGGAAAGGTGTGCTTGGAGTCAGGCAGAGAAAAGGGAAGAGGAAAGACAAGGGAAGAAGGAAGGCTTTGGTTTTAAATTTGAGCTTGCACATCTGTTGTTTTATTGTTTTGCTAACTTCTACTTATTTATTTATTTATTTTTTAATAAGTAAAGAACTCAGGCAAGCATCTATGAAACTTAGCAACCCACGGTGTCAATCATTTAAACTATTAAATGCTACATGCTTCTAGCTTATCTTGCCTTCTTTGTCCACATATTATCTAAAGACAGGGCCGGGAAATATTTCCTGCGGTCGAGTGGTACTCATAGATCAATGCCTAGGAATATCTTTGCGGTTGAATGGGAATGTTTTATCTCCTCACATGATCGATCTACCTTTCTGTTTTAAAATTTTTATTCCTTATGAAAATTCAGTAAAACATGAATAATACACCTGTATACAATATAGTTACTCTCATATTTGTGAAAAAGATTGTAGAATAATACTTTGGAAGTGAAATAAAATGGCTACAGTTTGGGTCAAAACATGTTTTCACTTCTCATGGCACTGTGGAAGCGCCAGTTTCTGGGAATGCTTAAGGGTCTTTTTGATAAAAATGCAAAATTCTGTGGACAACACCTTGATTTTCCACTTCATTTCAAAATATTTGCCTTGGCATATTTTGCAAATAAGATTGCTTTTTACATGCACACACACACATACACATGCATGCATCACACACATTCCAACAATTGACCAATGATTTGGAAGGAAGCTGAACATTTGGTACCAGATTATTCCAGGGTTGGAAACACTGAAATCAAGGATTGTTGCCCTTGTGTGTGATTTTTTTTTTTATTTCTAATACTGGGCTACTTTAACTTTATTATATAGTAACAAAAGACATATTTGATCTATGCTTATGATTTTCAAGTGCTTTATTTAACTGCAAACACCATATGTGTGTGTGCGTATGTGTGTGTGTATACATACGTATATATACATATGTATTTATTGTATACTTTTTTATGTTCCTTATTTTTGGTTACAAAGTACATGTCTCCATTAGATCAATTTATGATACAAAAATTATATCTAAACATATGTTTTTCCCGCATACCTGACAGGCCTGTGGTGAGGATAAAGTGACATTATATCATATATGCCAAGGAGCTTTTTAAGGCATAAAGATCTTAACAAGCAATATTGTTATCAGTATTTAAAAAGTCTGTCCTCCTTTATATATGAATATCATTTTTGACCTATTTACACAGAACCTGTTTTCAATGTTGTGATGTTAAATGGGACAGCTTTAAAATAACCCATCCTAAATATTCAGCGAATTAAAATACTTACTGCATTGCTAACAAGAATCATATATACTAATATGCTACTGCATAAAGCATTTGGGGCTTCAATTTATTATTCAGTAAGAATGCATTTGACCTCGGCGTGTTGATGACTCTTTTTTCAGAAACTATACTCTGCAGCTAGGCTAATCAAACTGTGTACAGTTCATTTGGGATAATTTCTCATCTAATTCCTTTAACTGTTTGGAGACAGAAAGTGGGCCTGTCCTTTGTAGAATAAAAAGTAAACAGCAGTTCCCATTGTATGATAAGCAAATAGAAAGGCTAACAGCTAATGTGCTGATTCAATAACCATTTCTATATTATCCTTTTAACTTACAGACATCCTTGGTATATTTTAAATTATTTCCATTAGAGAATTATACATGGCTCTGAAAAGCAATAAGAGAAGAAAATCCAGAAACAACTTTGGTATTATTTATGAAGAATAAATTATTTTATGCTGATTATCTATAAATGATCTACGGTATAAGAAGGCATGTTAATGGTGATTCTAGCAACTCTATAAAAAATGCAAAAACTTAACTGGGGGGGAATAAGCACCAAAGAAGAAAGAACCTGTGCCTTGTGTGCTCATCTCATACATTTATATTTGGAAGCAAATCATCAACTTTATCTTACAAGTGGACAGCCACCTCACCCACAAAATACATGTATTGTTAATATTCAAGCATTCCCGTAATCATCTTGGCTTAATTTAACAATGTAATGGAAATTAGAAAGAAAGGCATCTCCTGTTTTTGCCCCCTGTCAAAAATCTTTTGTTGTTGTATTTCAAAAATTAAAATTCTTTGGGCAGTGTCTTCTATCTTGACAATATACTTGTCATAAACTAAGTTTTGTATTTATCATACAAAATATGCTGTGTTTGACAGTATATTTCATAGGTAAAATTGGCTATCATCCTTGATTATATTCTTGGAGCAGAAATGAGAAAGAAAAAGGAGTGGAATATCATGAACTGAGGGAATGAAGCATTTTTGTCAGCTTTCTGTATGGCGCCAGAGTTCACAGTGCATGGGCATAAGATTCAGCATGTATGAGATAAGCCCCAGTCACCGCAGTAGCATCCATTTAGGGTCCAACTTCATCCACCTATTGGCACTGCCAAAACAATAAAAAAGAACTGGGAAGATTAAATTCTGAGACGCCTAAAACCTTTGAACATTGATCGTAACTAAGGCTGCCTCATACTTTATACTGCAACTTCACGCAGAATAACAAAATGTGCTCCCCACCTCCTGTAGGCACTGTGTACTGTTGGCAACCATCTTTTCCTAGTGGCAAGAGAAGTTCTACAGCCCAAATGTTGTCAGCCCTGGAATTAACTCACTCTAGGAGACTATGAGGAGGGATTTCAGGTGAAAATTTGGGCATTGATGATAGAAGGTCATGTGTGTTCTTCTGAAAAACCTTGGGGGCAATAGAATTTTTGCCCTAAAAATAAAGATGCTCATGAGAAAACTAGGAATAGAGCAGACTACTCAAACCATAGATCTTTTTAACTAGAACATTAATAGCAAAAACAAAATGAAACAATCCTAATGAAAATTCTGGCATAATTACAATTCTCTTAGCATTTACACCAGGTAAAATAGTCACTCCTTTGCAATCTTAAAATGTTAAGCTAGTGCTTTCTTCTCCAGGACACAGGTCCTGGAGGACATTTGTTTTAAGAGAGACTATTTTCATAAAAATCTGACTCATGGTGTGGGCTTCTTCATAAATTCATTGCTTTAGGGTGGGGAACAAGTTCTACAGCTTCATCACCTACACTGTTGCTTTACCAGTAGCTTAAAATAGTGGACAGCCTCACAATTTTTTTTTCTTTGAGATGGAGTCTCGCTCTGTCTCCCATGCTGGAGTGCAGTGGTGTGATAGCTCACTGCAACCTCTGCCTCCTGGGTTCAAGCAATTCTCTCCCTCAGCCTCCCAAGTAGCTGGGATTACAGGTGTCCGCCACCATGCCTGGCTAATTTTTGTATTTTTAGTAGAGACGGGGTTTCACCATGTGGACCAGGGTGGTCTCGAATTCCTGACCTCAGGCAATCTGCCTGCCTCGGCCTCCCAGAGTGTTGGGATTACAGGCGTGAGCCACTACACCTGGCCCCACAATTTTTTAAACCATGAAATCAACAGCTACTCCCATTAAATTTTCTTAAAATCATTATTAATTGCTAAGACTTTCTACTTGGTTGTATCTAAGTTTGCCCACAATTGCTTTGTGCTGATTCTGTGGTGACGATTCCAATGTGCTGGATAAAATGTACTGATGCAATTTCTGAGTTATAACACCTTTGTTCCTCTAGTCACCATTTATGCAGGACATAATTCACATCACATAATTCATATAAAGAACCAAGGAAATTGCCTGGTACCCAGACAGCTGTGCTTAGACTCCCCATCCATTGCAGTATTTACCTGGCTTGATCAAATACCTGTCTTCTTTTAGGGTCATTTGATTCAAATACTTTAAGCATTAAAATTTGTCCTATATATCTATTAATGTATGAATTATTTAACTCGAGGTGTTTGTTAAACAGTTAAGAGTTCAGGACCATGTTATTAAAGACCTAATTATTTTATAAATATCCTCATAAAACTATATAAAGAATATTCTCTCTAGGGTTAGTAAGTCCTATGTAACTCTTCAAGTTGCACGAATCCTCCTAGTTTCCAGAGGATAATGCTGAATGCTCAAGAGTTGTATAAATCGTACTTTTTGTGGGAAAAGACACCCTGGATTTTATTTCCCTGAACTGTGTTATCAGAATTAGCAGGGTCATGTAGCTGTTTCTCAGGAGAACTTGCTCAGCTATCCAAACTGGGGCCGATTCCTCATCCATTTACATCCCTCCCTCGTGAAAACTAACTCAGATATTAAGTCACCAGGGAATTCAAGACAAAAATGAGAAAGAAATGTGAGCCCACTTTCCCCCTTAGTTCCTTCCTGCTTATATCAAACAACACTGACTTGGGTTCTCTAATACATGCATGTCCTGTCTGCCCCGAACTTTACCTAGGACCTCTGAGCTGAGGATTGCTACCCCTGAGGCTGCAGTTTTATAATTACTAGAAAATGTGTGTTTCAGAGATGATGATGTTAGAAAGTGATCAAACCCCAATGATGTAGGTTAAAAACATGGTAACAATAACCAAGTGCCACCAGAAACATTTTAAAACAGCCACTTATGCTCTAGTAAGTTCCAATTTCTAATTTTCAAAGACTGTATTTCTTGTTCTTGGTGCTAATTTGGCCAATTTTTAATATTCAGTCCAAGTAAGATCAACCACTTAGAGTGCTAAAAAGATTGTTTTTACAGTAAAGATTTTTCATTGGTTAGTTCATTCATTCATCCTCCAAATATCTGTGACTCCAAATGCTTATTCCCTCACAGCTTCCACAAAAGGAGGAACAGGCTCATGGTTCCTGATTCTAGTCTTTCCCTCACTGTCCTACAAAGAGGTACCTTCCATGTGACCCCAAGGCAAAGTTCAGTAGCAGTTAGTGAGCTTCCTTTGTTCTGCTCTTTCTTCCATTCCATTTCTTCTTTTTCTACAAATGCTGCCAAAACCAGACTATTAGAGCATCCTCATTAGCACCGAGAGAATGGAATGTTCTCGCCAGGGATGCGCTCACTGATGCTGCATGGGTTTCCAGTCACTGCAACTCTGGTGAGGTGCTGGGTTCTGTGCAGAGCCAAGGAAAATGGTGTCCTTCCAACTCTGAGCCACATGTGGTCATCCGGGCCCCAGAAGCAGCAATTCTTTTTCCCATACTCTCAGAAAGGCCCTTTCAGGAGTCCCATCTGCTTCTGAATCCAAAACCTTTTTTCAAGGATAATTAAAATTAGTCCAAAGATGCTTGGGGATGGTTGATGCCCTTGCATCTTCCTCTATTTTCCATTGACGTCACATAAGCCACACACACACACACACACACACACACACACCCCACAAACACACACACTTCTTTCCTCCTGCAATTAAAAATAGCCCCTTTCTCTGAAAACAGAGACAAAAACACTCAGAATGGAAGTATTCCTGTTGGTGGTGAGATGTTCTCTCCATTAGCTATGGAGTACTGTTTTATGTGTTGTGTGCTTATGCCTTACAAGATCTTTTAAAGACACTTTATATTCCCAGTGCCTTAACATTAGTGATGATCCAAGATTAAGAAAAATGATGACAGCTAGTGCTCACGCATTCATTCTATACTATTTACAGTGAGAATTCAAATCTCATGAATAGGGTGAAAATACTTTCAATATTCTATAGGCTAGTTAACAAATGTAGCATATGCTCTTGAAACCAAGGAAAATAAAAAAAATATGATGGCTCCATTTTTAATATTCCTCTAAAAATTATTTTCTTTTTTCTTAATCTATTTTGACTAATTTTCTATTTTATCTTTTTTATTCTTACTTCATTTATTGTCTTTCACCTTTAACTCTGTATTCAGAGAGGTCAGACATACAGGAAAATGTACAAATTTGGGATATGATAAAGGTGGCCTTTCAAAACATTGTAGAAAAGAAGGATTATTCAATAAAGGGTATTGGACAACTGGCTAGCCATTTGGAAAGTAATAAAACTGAAGCTTTATCTTACTCCTTACTCAAAATGAATTCTATTTGGCTCCAAAATTTGAGCATAAAAATGAAATATTAAAAGTTTTGAATAATCTTGGTGATTAAACAAAGTAAGCTTAAGACCTCTCTAACCATGATAAAACTGAAAAGCTATAGAAATATATTGGTAGATAAAAGGAAAATTTGAAATATCTTCCTATGTAAAAACATTTTTAAGTTAAAAAAGAAACAAAAATTGGGAAAATATTTGCAAGTTGAGGCTAAAGAAAACAATTTCTATAAATAATTTAGTAAAGGTCTAGCAACATATTAGAAAGTAGTCATTAACTGGGCTCAGTGATTCACGCCTTGTTATTCCAGTTACTTGGGAGGCTGAGGTGGGAGGATCCCTTGAGCACAAGAGTTTGAGGCTGCAGTGAGCTATGCTCATGCCACTGCACTCCAGCCTGGGCAACAGAGTCAGATCAGGTCTCTAAAAAGAAAGAAAGAAAAAAGTAGCCTTCAATAAGGAATTAAAGAATTCAAATGGGCAATAAACATATAAAAGTATGATTTTTAATTAACATAAATTAATAAGGGGAAACAAATTAGTACGGTATGAGATGCCAGTTTAAACTCTATCAGTCCAGCAAAAAATTTTTAAAGTTTCATCAAAGCTGGTATTGAGGAAGGTTTGGAGAAGCAGGCATTAAACTATACTTGGGTAGGAATAAAAATTTGTCCAGCCTTCTGGTAGGATAACTTTAAAAAAATCCCACTTAATTATGAAGTTATGAAGATATCATTGCAAAATTATTCAGTTATATGTATAAAGATGTTATTTAAATACTTTTTTATTATACTGTAAGTTCTAGGATACATGTACAGAACATGTAGGTTTGTTACATAGGTATACAAATGTCATGGTGGTTTGCTGCACCCATCAACCCATCACCTATATTAGGTATATCTCCTAATGCTATCCCTCCCTTAGCACCCCCAACCCTGACAGGCCCTGGTGTGTGATCTTCCCCTCCCTGTGTCCATGCATTCTCATTGTTCAACTCCCACTTATGAGTGAGAACATGTGGTGTTTGGTTTTCTGTTCTTGTGTTAGTTTAAATACTTTTTATAGTGATACAAAATCTGGACCCATTCTTTATCTCTTGCAGTGGGGAGGTGATTCCAGAATATGGAAAATGTATAGGATGCACAAAACCATGAATAGTATTTCTGTAAAGTGGGGCTACAGGGGCTGGAGGAGGATTTTACTTTGCTATACCTGCTCTTTGGTATCTCTGATGTGAATTGTGAGGGAAAATGGGGTGTATGCAATGGGGATCCTATAGATATACGAAGATGAGAGGAATAAAGGTGAGTGTCAAAATTATTACTGCAGTCTTTGAGGCATTCAAGAAATGAAGGTTAAGAACTTGAGTTATCTTGAAGTTGCTTTTGGTTGCTCTACTCTCTCTTTTGGGGGGATAACTTTTAGACTGGACAATTTGGTGACATCTTTATCAGAATTACATGAAATTCAAATTACTGAAAGGAAGTGAGAAACAATTATATAATTTTCCTTATTACAAAGGAAATATGAGACATTTCAGGCCAAAGGGTTTAAGGGATTTGATCAAAGTTAGGAGCAGAGCTGGAAGTAGAAACCAAACCCTCTCGTCCTGCCTCACCCACTATCATCTTCCCACCAGCCCTGTGGTAACATAAGCCAAAGCACAGAGATTTAGACATCTTGAATCTTCTGAAGGACTGCGATTTTCAATTCAACCTACATGTATAATTATTGCTAAAGAATGAGAGTAAAAATTAAAGCATTCATCCTTCTTTTTATTAATATAAATGCAACAGGCATTTGTGTAGAATGTGATCATATTGAAAATTGGACATATTACTTAATCGGGGAACTTGATTTACTTACGAAACCAAACATAAAAACACTAGGCAGGCAGATCATGAGGTCAGGAGTTCACGACAAGCCTGCCCAACATGGTGAAACCTCGTCTCTACTAAAAATACAAAAATTAGCTGGGTGTGGTGGTGTGCACCTGTAATCCCAGCTACTCTGGATGCTGGGGCAGGAGAATCTCTTGAACCGGGGAGGCAGAGGTTGCAGTGAGTCGAGATTGTGCCACTGCACTCTAGCCTGAGTGACAGAGCAAGACTCTGTCTTAAAACACACACATACACACACACACACACACAAAAGAAAAAATATATATTCCATGGATTAGATACATTGTTTAAATCTGGATCTTGAACTGTGGATCTTGAACTTTTGGTCTTACCACTACTGTAGACTCTTAAAAATTTTGAGTATGCCAAAGAGTTTTTGTTTGTGTGTGTCATATTTAATGGTATTTGCCATATAAGAAATTAGAAACAGAAATCTTTTAAATGTTTGTTATTAGCTTATGTCAAAATAACAATTCTACTTTTTGTACACATTATTGAAACTTTTTATGAAAAATGCAATATATTTTCAAAACAACCACAAGAAAATAGTGAGAATGACATCATTTCACTTTTTTTTTTTTTTGCAAATATCTTCCATGTCTAGCTTCATAGAAGACACTCTCATATCTGCTTCTGCATTCACTCTCTTGCAAAAAGTTGCAGGGTTTAAATGATGGCTGGGTTATTTTTGAGAAAATACCTGTCAAATACACACTAACCATCCTTAATCTGACAATTGTGCTTTTTTATTTTTTTTTTTGATAAAGAGTCTTGCTCTATTGCCGAGGCTGGAGTGCCGTGGCGCGATCTCGGCTCACTGCAACCTCCACCTCCCGGGTTCAAGCAATTCTCCTGCCTCAGCCTCCCTAGTAGCTGGGATTATAGGCGTGCACAACCATGCCTGGCTAATTTTTTTGTATCTTTGGTAGAGACAGGGTTTCGACAGCGCTGGCCAGGCTGGTCTCGAACTCCTGACCTTGTGATCCACCCACCTCAGTCTCTCAAAGTGTTGGTATTACAGGCACGAGCCACCGCTCCCAGCTGACAATTGGGCTTTTAAGTCAAAATGATATTCTATAAAAAGGCACCTAGCGAAGCTTGCAATAATAGCACAAATGCTTTTCCTTGAGATCACCATCGTATTTCAATATGCAGCAAAAGCACTTTATGTGTATTTCTCATTTCATCACACAGATTATTGAAAAGCCATGTACTCAAGGCATTAATTTTATTAAATTAGTAACTTAATTTACTAAAATTATTTATTAAATTTATAACTTAATTCAATAATATTAATGGTTCCTGCTTCATCAAGGGTATTCTTAGGTAAAATTGACTTTTTTGTTTGGTTATCTGAGAGTTCACAATGGTAAAAATACAATAACTGTTGGTATAATTTGGTGCCCCTACATGATTTAGGATAAGGTTTCAGCAGTATCTCTCATCATCAGTACTTTTGTATCATTGGTGCAAATGTCAACACAGTGAAAAAGACAAAAAAAGTGTCTGTACTATTATAGAAATTGTTTTGAAGTCTCAAAAGTCTGAAAGGGTCTCAAGAAGGGATCTATGGACTACACTTTGAGAAACATTAATTTATGATAATAATAGGTACTAAAAGTGAGAAGGTGATAAGAAGTCCTGTTTTAATAAAATGTTAATCTGAAAATAAAGGTCATTACTCAAATGCAAAAGCTGGAAGTAATCAAAACCTGCGTTTGCTTAATAGTGTTTAGCACGGAGCCATATAAAAGTTTTCTTTACAAGGGAAAGTATCTAGTTACTTAGCCTCTTTTTTTTCCTCTTGGAAACCATTTCCATATAATTTAATTTTTGATGTCAAGATTTCTTGAAAGTGCAATTATCACTATAGCATGCATGTATGCGTGTGCACACACTCACACACTCATAACTGTGGGCATTTATCAGCTTTCCCTGCATCAATCATCTTTCCTTTTGTCAGTGCTGCAAGTAGCCCACCTATCAATATCAAGCCTGAATTCCATCATTTCCCACATTCTCGGTTGCTTCCCCTTTTCTGTTATCGTCTTGTTCTTGTATTGTCCATCTGTATACATTGGATAAGTCTCATCAGCAGGTAAACATTCTCTTCTATATCCTATCTTTTAAAACAAAGCCAAAGGAAACTCTGCCTTCTCACCACTTCCTGTGCAATTACAATTTATCATCCTAGAGTCTATTCAATTTACTCTAATATGGTATCTACCCTGGCAAGCTACAGAAATCACTCTTGTCAAGGACACCAAAGACTTCCACGTTGTCAAAGGCAATGGTTACCTTTCTGTCCTCATTCTTCATGAGCTCTAAGAATCACTCTATTAATAGAGTCCACAATATTTTCTCAGTGTTCCTTCGTGTGGATGTGGAAACCTCCCCCTCCTGTGGCCTTATTCCTCATTCACTGATGGTTTCTTCCCAGTTTCCTTTCCTGGCTCTTTTTAATGTGGGGCTCTTCAAGACCTGGCTCTTACCTCTTTCCTCTCTCTGGCTCTCTCCTCAGATGACCTTTGTCAACTCCATGCTGCTGATCCCCACATTTATCTATCACAGTGTTCCTCTGACCACCACTCTTACGTTTTTAGCAGCCTCCATGATGTCGCCATGTCGACCTGAATTTTTAGAAACCTCAAAATAACATGTCCAAAATGTACATTTTATTTATTTTCTCCAACTCCTCCCCACTTCATATTCTTCATCCCAGCAAATGGCACCATCTTTTACACATTTGCTCCAACCAGACACTTGGGCGTCATCCAATGTTCTTCCCTTTCTCTCAGGCCCATACCTTCACTATATTCAAATTTTGCATATTCAATTAGTATCTAGGTTAAACATGCCCAGTTTTATACTCTACGTATTCGGTAGTGTAAATTATCTGTACGTGTTCCCAGTATATTTATCTACTGGTCCCTGGGCACTTTATCTGTGAGTTAAAAGATGCAGCCCAGTTACCCCTTGGCATCATTAGGTGATAATTCATGGAACAGGTGATATGAGTGTAAGGCTTAGTTTACAAAGGGACCACCTTCCAGAGTTCTGCTTTCTAACATGAACTAATCATATTTCTTTCATAAATAAGAAACAAAACAGAATACTTCAAAAGACTAATATTTTTGGTGATTTTTAAAAATCTGTCAGATACACAAGTGAGAACATTACAAAGTAATCTTCATAGCCACTGTCTCAACACTTGTACTTATCCTAGACAAATCACTTTTATAACAAATTGCTTCACTCTCTATTGAGCATAGTGAAAGCAGTGAAATGCCACGTAATCTTCTAGAACTAATAAATGACACCATTTGTGCCTTTTCTTTCTCTCCAGTGCTGCACTGTCCTTGGTCTTTAAACAATTGACACTATTCTTTTCACAATATTTAATGTTTCCCCTCTAAAGTTTTGTTTCAACATTGATAGTCTCACACTTTGTCCTAGAGGCACAAAGCTTCAGATGTTATAAATAACCTCACATAGATTTTTTGGATCAATTTTAGGAAAGGAAAAAAAAAGAAACTTCCAAAACTGTTAAACTACTGACTTCTTTTCTTTGGTTTTCAGGTGCTAACAGATGAACGATAAATCTATTTTAAAACACTTTTTTTGACTTCTACATATTCTCATTGATAGCAATAGGTGTTAAGTTGCATGCACAGTAAACATAGAACACAGGGAGGGCTAAATAAATCTAAATACATGGCGGCACTATCTCGATGGCTTGTTGTATCATACATTGGTGGTAAATACTTCCTTCTCTCAATGTCTTTTGGTCTCTGAGTCTGAACTTCTTGTTCAGCCTTCCATTATAAAGCTGAAGAGACTTTTATTATTGCTCCTTCTGAAAGAATACACATTTTGAATTTGGTGAGGTCACCAGAATACTGATATAAAATTTTCTGATCTCTGTGAATCAGAAGCTGATTGTTAAAAATTCGACTGTCATTAGACTTGGAGAATATGACTAATATCCTATAGTGATGTTTAAGAAATGTGTGACTTTTTATGACATCAGTTTCAAAAAATATTTTATATCTTGTTTATTTTTCACAATATATTTGTGAAGGCCTACTGTAACTTATGATTTCCTGGAAATTGTTGGGTTGAGTGTCATGAGAACTTTGAATTGCAATTATTAATGAAGCTATTTTCTCCTAATATTTGTAGTATGCCAAATGAGTCAAAATTTTTAGCTTGTCTAAATCTATTCAAAAGATGTCAGTCAAAACCAAGTAGCCGATTCAGCTCAGAGGGTTTATTTTCATCATTACAGGAGTTAGTTACAAGAGAAAAATGGATAACTCTGCATATGTATAGATTTTTAGTATACCATAGTTTCTGAACCTATAAGCAGAAAACAAACTAAAAGAATGTTTCAAGAGACCTATCATGCAGCTTAATAGTGAGGTAGTCAAGCTAAGACTGAAATACCCATGCACCAAATTATGCACCATTTACTAAGAGGAGCTTTTGTAATGCTTCAGTATGTTTACTTATGTGTTGAAGACAAATAGGGCAAGTGGTTAGCTAGTTATTCAGAGAAAAATTACTATCTAATATGCCTGGCCACTGGAGAAAATAGTAGATGGAGATTATGGTCAGTAATCCTAGCAGAATACACCAGCCAGGTCTCATAGACTCATTTCGATATATAGGCCCCTAAAGGAAAACTTCATCAAACAATATATATTTTATTTATTTTGAAATATGGATATCTCTAACTGATCTAGGAGAGGAACTCCTGACATGGTGATGAAAAGGTAGCCGGGCTCAGCATGGCCGACGTGCCAAGGCAGAGATGCCTCTGAAAGCAATAAAAAATAGAATCCCTTCTTGGTTCTTTTCATCTCCCCTTTGTGTTAAGTCTATTTGATTTTGCTATCAGTGTGGCTTATAATTTTCTGAGTGCAATGAAAAATAATTCTGTGAATCTGTATTCAATATCTAAAGGAGTTTTCAAACCAACAAGAGTAAAGGATATTTTCCCTTCTCTCCTTTTTTAATTGTATGAAAGATATGCACAGACTGTTTAGAATGACTGTAAGGAGTGATGTGTGCAAAGAAAAATCCCTGTCAAGTGCTCTGTACTTTGCTATTTGCCCATGGCAATGGACAGTCCAGAGATAAAGGGGGGGAAAAAAGCCTAAAACCCATCAATCCCAGAAATCTCTTGGTAAGCAGTAACCGAGGGCAAAATAACATGCAGCTGGCTGATAGAAAGTGAGGCTACCCTGCAAATTTAGGGTCCAATTCTCTTGGCCCCTCTCTAGTTAAAAACCAAACAATTTTTTTTTCATGTAGCTTCCAATTGCAGAGCCTGTTGAAAACTCATTATCTTCAAATAGGATTACATTCCGTTAATATGAGAACATGCATATTACAATATCTGGTAAAAATCAAAAGTTCCAATTTGCTCACTACATGTAAATCCAATTCAAAATATTTCCATAACATATATCTGCTGGATGTTACACTATTTGTATGTCACTCTGGAATGGATTAACTCCATGACAGGCTAGGCTCAGTTTTTCTGCATTTGGTGTTTTTAAACAGTTTATATTTGTTATCATATCAAAGACAGGCTTGCAGTTTTCAAAAGGAAGAAGAGAACACAGCGCCCAAGGCTCCTCCAGCATTACATTTCTTATTCCATTTTATCTTTCTTGGTTTTGACTAATGTCAGTAACAGCTACTGGTAATAAACTGCTTGTTACAGCCTGCTGTTGCCTTGAAGCCTGGCTTTGATACATTGTCAGCCAATCGGAAGCATTTCCTGATTACATTTCCAAATTGCTTGTTTATTGATCGAGAGTTAATAAAGCAAAAGACAACTTTACGGCTTAAATTAAATGAAAGTTTCCTTTGATGTTCAAATTATCCAATCAACCAACAGGCAGTGAAATGTAAGCATTTGAAAGTTTTATCTGAAAAGAAAAAAAAAGTATGAGATAAATGGATCTTAGTGTAGACACGGTAGCTAAGTGCTAATGAAAAATATGTGCAACTTAGCATACTGCAATTTCATTTATTTCTCAGGCAAAGGAAATGATGTTGTTATTCAGTCCACCCCACTCCTCAAACCTGAAGAAGGAAAAGTACTTCTAGGATGTCTTTCATTTGGCTTACAACAATTTCTTAAACTGGAACCATTTTAGTAAATAAAATGAAGTATACATTAACTTCATGGATTTACTGAAGTTCTAATATTTGGAAATGGTAACACAGCTTAGATGCTATCTTTGGAATGTCACAGTGTAGATGTTTGGGTGACATAAATGGTCAGTTAAGCTATTTGAAAGAAATTGACTTCTGAAATTTTTAGCAGCTTTTCACATCCCCTTTCCAGTGAGAAGGTAATCTTTTATCAACACAGGGGGAAATCAGACATTTCTGACAAAGAAGAAAATAAACAAATATTTTAAAGGTTTGCCTATGTCAGGACACATAGGAGACAAGCACTTTGTCATAGGTGACCCATAAACAGAATATCTGGTTAGAGAGGAGGGAGAGGGTTACTTAAGACCTTGGACAAAGTCAGAAAGAAACAGTTTTTATTATTATTGTGCTATAAGGTTAAGTAAAAGGAAACAAAATTGTGTAAACAGCATAATAACAAATCTGTGGGAGAAAAAAGAAAGTTGCATGAAAAGTATATGGAGAAATATAGTAAAATATTAACAGAGGCTATTTTGGGGAGATATTAAGGGTATTTTTCTCTTCTTACTTTCTACATTTGGTTTTTTTTTTTGAGACAGTATCTTGCTCTATCACCCAGGCTGGAGTGCAGTGTCACTATCATGGCTCACTGAAGCCTTGACCCCGCAGGCTCAAGCAATCCTCCCACCTCAGCCTGCCAAGTAGCTGGGGTACAGACGTACCCCATGCCTGGCTAACTTTTTGTAGAAACAGGGTCTTCCTATGTTCCCCAGGCCCATGTACTAAACTTTTGAAAATAAATATTCGTTACACTTAAAATGGAAAAAAACAAAAAACAAAAAACAAAAAAACAGCTATTAGTTTAAAATCAAAGTTAACAAAAAAATAATGACATTTTCTTTCCTTTTTTTTTTTTTTTTTTTTTTTTGAGACCAAGACTTGCTCTTTCACCAGGCTGGAGTGCAGTGGCGCGATCTTGGCTCACTGAAACCTGGGCCTCCCGGGTTCAAGCAATTCTCCTGCCTCAGCCTCCTGAGTAGCTGGGACTACAGGCATGCGCCACCACACCCAGCTAATTTTTGTATTTTTAGTAGAGACGGGGTTTCACCATGTTGGCCAGGATGGTCTCAATCTCTTGACCTCGTGATCCACCCGTCTTGGCCTCCCAAAGTGCTGGGATTACAGGCATGAGCCACCGCAGGGGACATTTTCTTTTCCTTTTCTTTTTTTTTTTTTTGAGATGGAGTCTCGTTCTGTCACCAGGCTGGAGTGCAGTGGCACGATCTTGGCTCACTGCAACCTCCGCTTCCTGGGTTCAAGCGATTCTCCTGCCTCAGCCTCCCGAGTAGCTGGGACTACAGGCACGCACCACTACGCCCAGCTAATTTTTGTATTTTTAGTAGAGACGTGGTTTCATCATGTTGGCTAGGATGGTCTCAATCTCTTGACCTTGTGATCCGCCCGCCCCAGCCTCCCAAAGTGCTGGGATTACAGACGTGAGCCACCGCACCCAGCCCCCGAAATAATGATATTTTCCTAGCTGCTTCTTGGATAGTAAAATTGCAGAAAGTTTATTCTCAGGTTAGGACTTTTGGGAAGCCTTGACTATTACCTAGATAGCTGAAATTATACGCCCACTACTTGAACTTCTTGCATGTATTGCATCTTTTATCTTTTTTTCTCACCAAAGACAATTATTCAGACCATGTTATATTTCCAGATTGGACAAGGAATGTGCATTGGTTGCAAAGAGAATGTGACCAGCTACCACTCTTTGATTAGCCTCCTTCTGCAGCCTAGTCATTGGCCACCAGCAGCTAAGGTGATCTTTTCAAGGTGCAAATCTGATCACAGCTTCTCTGCTTTCAACCTTTCATTGGCATCAGCCCACAAGGCCCTGCAAAATTTGCTTCCTGCCTACCTCTTAGCTGCATCTCATCATGGGCTCTCTGGCCCCTCAGCTCCAGCCACAAGGGCTTCTTTTGGGTCCTCTAATTATATGAACTTCCTCCTGTCAAGTTTTTGCCTTTAGCATTTCTCTCAAGAATTTCTTCCTCAAAGAAGCCCTCTTTGACTTTCAGTTCTCTGTCATTTGAGTTTTTTGTCATCAGAGTTATTTGTCATTTGCTGTCATCAAATTTTTTTCTTCCCTAGCACTGGCACTACGTAACTTACGTATCTGCTTAACACAATGCCTGGCACAAACTGAGCACTAAATTAATAGGTGTTAAAGGACTAAAGAAATGATAAATGAGAGAAAAGATGAACTAGTCACCTAGTGCTCAGATTTAGTCTATATTGCTGCAGATGTTTTCCTGAAATATCTAGATGAATTCACAGGAAAAGCTTTCATTCATTCATTTTAATTTTCTTGAGCATTTGTTCTGCATATGGTACATTTCAGCATCACAGGAAATGAGATGAATTGGACATGGACTTTGTTCTAAGAGTTCTTAATATAAATCAGCATTTCCCTTTTTCAAGGTTAATTGCTGTTTGGTCAAAGCATGAATGGACGCTTGAAAGTGGAACTGTGCTAACATTTCAATAATTATATTTATACCACCACACACCAAATTTTAGGCCAAATCCAGGGAGTATTTCTCATTCTTTGTGCCACTTACTTCCCAACTTCTCATCCTCAGAAAACGTTTAACAAACCCTGTCAACTTACCTCCAAAATATATTTTGAATCCATCTATTGAATCCATCTGATTCCCCTGCAACGACTCAGGCAAGGCGACTTTCCTTCTTGTGTCTCTACTGGCCTCCCTGCTTCCTCTTGGCTCCCCTATGTTCTGTTTGCCACAAGACAGCCAGAGAGGTCTTTTAAAGGCATGATTCAGTTTATGCCACTTGCCCGCTTATTGTTTAAATGTCTTCCCCCTGCACTTAAAATCAAATGCAAACTGTCTCTCTGAGCAGCCATGCCCTTCCTTAATTGCCTTGCCTAATACTGTGAAAAAATATCATCCCTGCTGTAGACAATTACTGCCAGCCACAACCCATGCTTATGCCTGTGCCAGGGTGTTCCTCTACACCCTGAATGCTTCCCCACATCATTTCATGGGTAGCTGCTTCTTTTCATTCAGGTCAGAACTCACAGTCCAGCTCTTCAGAGGGCCTTCTCTAAAGTAGCCACTTTGCAGGTTCTCATTAACATATCACCCTTTTGGATTTCCTTCAGAGCACTTATCACTATCTGAAAATATCCAGTTTATTTAGAAATAAATTCTGCTCCCCTCATCTCCCACTGGAACTTTATGAGGACTGGATCTTGGCCAGCTTATTTGCTCATGCAACCCAGTGACTAAACAGTGCCTGGTACAGGGTGTGTGCTCAATAAATATTTGTTGAATGAATGAATGAGAAAGTGAATGAATAGACAGGCTTCACTTCATGGAAATGGTGAGCAGGTGCTTCTTGGCTGGGGCTTGATCTTCAGTTGTAACAATGGCGCTTCTTCTAAATGAATCCCATCTTGCCATTAAGCCCCACTACAAGTCCCTCCAGCTCCATGAAACCTTTCCCAATAACCCAGTACACCCTCATCCCTTTTTCTGAATCATTACATATAATTTTATTGTATTACCCAGGTTACTTTTGAGAGTGAAAGTAGGCACTATTATTATTTGTGCAGAGCCAACAGGCATAAACTAGAAAGTGTCCTGGAAAAACTGGGATGTATGGTCACCCTATCTATATGCCACTTCCTCATTCCTTAATTTATATAAACTTTGACTGCAGTTTTTCAGAGGTATGCAATCTTTTCCCTTATTAGAACTTAAATACTTAGTCATATTTAATTGCACTTAGCACACAACTGAGCTCCCAAGAGTTGCTAATGAAATGCTTATTGTTACTCTGTTCAGTCGGTATCAAACACCTCTTTTTCTCTGTGCTGCTTATTATCGAATTCACTTCTTTGAGGGAAATTGTTTTAAAAGGGAGTGGTTCTTTTATGCATCAAACTGGGTCTGATGTCTAAGCAGGTATTTTCTCATTCTTGTAAACGCAGGAAGAAACTCTAGGCTGTAAGTTGCCTGTAAACTTTTGTATATGGTTCTTACTGCACTGCCAGTACATTATACTTCATTTGGCTGGAATACTGTCCTCCCCATCTACTCCCTCCCCATCTTCCTCTGACTAATTTCCATAAGCTCCTCAGACCTCAGCTTCAATTGTCCCTTCCTCCTCAACATGTGGTTAAGTGTCACTACCCAGAGCTCCACAGTACACACTGTACTGCCCCACTGGGCCATATCACACTCGGTTATATGGAAACTGTCTGTTTCCTTTCTGCCTCCCCATGGGATGGAGGTAAGTTCTTTAAGAGAAATTACCCTGTCTCTTTAATTCACCTTTCTGTCCCTTAGGCTTAGTACAATGCCTGTCTCATAATACATTTAAAAAACTTGTTGAATAAATAAATGAATGAAGACATTTGCCTATGTTTGGTTACTGGTGCAATAAGAGGAAAATGGATCTGAATATTATTTTATCAGATAATTTCACATAGCAAAAGATTATTTTTAAAAATACCTTAGTCCAAGCTTTGAGCTAATTATCCAGTTCAGCAACTGCAACTGTGACTCTAGTCAATGGACCTCATGCACATAAGCCAAGTCTTTTCAGAAAATGTAGTGCTAAGGATTTATTACTATTTTTTACTATTGGTTGAAAAGAAACTCTCCACCATGTCCATTTAACTACCCAAGTTGTAACGTTAATAACGTTAAAGTGGCAGGACTGCAGTTAAAGTAGACCTGTAGGAATTTATTCATAAACTGTTTTTTTTTTTTTTTTTTGGTGTGTTGTAGCAGGTAGTTGTAGTAATTTGGCTATCTGATACTCCATAAAACATTATTTTAAGATGAATCTAGATATAAGGCCAGTCACTCTCACTTCTTAATCATGCGTAAAGAAATACAGTGATAAAAATTTATTTGGTAGTACTTTGAAAAACAATCAAATTTTTAAAAAGTGAAAATACCTCTGAAGATCTTGCTAATACTTTCAAAAAGCAAAATCTCATAGGAAATGAGTTAATGTGTTAGAATTTGAATTTTTCTATACATTTCTTCTATGATTTTGGAAACTTTTAAGAGCATTTTGTAATAAAAGAATAGTCCTAGCTATTAGATAATATATATTGAATGATTTTAACTTCTCTGTTTTTATAATGGATCTGAAAAGCTGATACTGGGCTTACTAAAAATCAGGCAGACCCAAAGTAAGTGTCATATCCTTCAGTCTCTATACAGTATAGTAACAAGAATCATTATGATTTCTTCTAGTAAGAGCTAACACTTTTAGAGAAATTGTATGCCAGGCACTTTTGTAATTGTTTTTACACGTTTTGACTATTTTAAGCCACAGCCAACCACATAGGGTAAGTAATATTATGACCATACAAAGATATCAAATCACAAAGAAATTAAATAACTTTGCCAAGATAAATTGTAGAAGTGAGGTTAATATCCAGGCAGTCTGACTCCAGAATCCATGTTCTTAATGACTTCACAAGTATACAGAATCTGATCATGTGCACTTTACCCTTTTGTATGAAAACCTAATTCCTGGTTTTATCTTGTCTAGTCTATACTCTTATTTTCCCTTCTTAATGATGTCATCACCAAAGGAGAGGAAGAGAGACGGAAAAGAAGAGGAGACAGTTTGGTCGTAATGTGTATATTTCAGCATCCCATATTGTATTTTTTAGAGATCCAGACAGTATATAAATATGTAAAAACTTAGATAAACAGGTTTCCAGGATCCACCTGTGTCTCTCTGAGTTTGGTTCACAGAAGAATGAGTAGAAGAATTCAGCTAAAAAAATGGTACCACGAAAAGGGTGGAGAACACCAGAACGAAAGTGAATGAGACTTGTCAGTATGTTATGCACATTTCAAGACCAGGAAGACCTTTGGGTTAGATCAATTGAATTTTAAAAGCTGTAGCTAGACTGAAGAGGAGAGAATTGGCTAGCTAGGGTGTGTGGGTCCATCTCCTCCTCCTTGGGCCACCTGAAAGTTGATGTGATTGGCTATGCAGGCTCTTTTGTGGTTCCATACGAAATTTAAAGTACTTTTTTTCTAATTCTGTGAAGAAAGTCAATGGTAGCTTGATGGGAATAGCATTGAATCTGTAAATTGCTTTGGGCGGTATGGCCATTTTCACAATAATGATTCGTCCTATCCACGAGCATGGATTTTTTTTCCATTTGTTTGTGTCCTCCCTTATTTCCTTGAGCAGTGGTTTGTAGCTCTCCTTGAAAAGGCCCTTCATGTTCCTTTTAAGTTGTATTCCTAGGTATTTGATTCTCTTTGCAGCAATTGTGAATTGGATTTCACTGATGATTTGGCTCTCTGCTTGTCTATTATTGGTGTATAGGAATGCTTGTGATTTTTGCACATTGATTTTGTATCCTGAAACTTAGTTGAAGTTGCTTATCAGCTTAAGGAGTTTTTGGGCTGAGATGATGGGGTTGTCTAAATATACAATCACGTCATCTGCAAACGGAGACAATTTGACTTCCTCTCTTCCTGTTTGAATACACTTTATTTTTTTTTCTTGCCAGAACTTCCAGTAATATGTTGAATAGGAGTGATGAGATAGGGCATCCTTGTCTTGTGCCAGTTTTCAAACAGAATGCTACCAGGTACCAAAACAGATATGTAGACCAATGTAACCAAACAGAGACCTCAGAAATAACACCACACATCTACAACCACCTGATCTTCAACACACCTGACAAAAATAAGTAACGGGAAAAGGATTCCCTATTTAATAAGTGGTGCTGTGAAAACTGGCTAGCCATATGCAGAAAACAGAAACTGGACCCCTTCCTTACACCTTTTACAAAAATTAACTCGAGATGGTTTAAAGACTTAAATGTAAAACCCAAAACCATAAAAACCCTAGAAGAAAACCTAGGCAATACCATTCAGGACGTAGGCAAAGACTTCATGATGAAAACACCAAAAGCAACTGCAATAAAAGCCAAAATTGACAAATGGAATCTAATTAAACAAAAGAGCTTCTGCACAGCAAAATAAACTATCTTCAGAGTGAACAGGCAACCTACAGAATGGGAGAAAAATTTTGCAATATACCTACCTGACAAAGGGCTAGTATCCAGAATCTACAAGGAACTTAAACAAATTTACAAGAAAAAAAAACAAACAACCCCATCAAAATGTGGGCAAAGTATATAAACAGACACTTCTCAAAAGAAGACATTTATGTGGCCAACAAACATGTCAAAAAAGCTCATCATTACGGGTCATTAGAGAAATGCAAATTAAAACCACAATGAGATATCATTTCATGCCAGTTAGAATGGTGATTATTAAAAAGTCAGGAAACAACAGATGCTGGTGAGACTGTGGAGAAATAGAAATGCTTTTACACTGTTGTTGGGAGTGTAAATTAGTTCAACCATCGTGGAAGACAGTGTGGCAATTCCTCAAGGATCTAGAACCAGAAATACCATTTGGCCCAGCAATCCCATTACTGGGTATATACCCAAAGGATTATAAGTCATTCTCCTATAAAGACACATGATCACCTATGTTTATTGCAGCACTATTTACGATAGCAAAGACTGTGGAACCAACTCAAATGCCCATTAGTGATAGACTGGATAAAGAAAATGTGGCACATATACACCATGGATTACTATGCAGCCATAAAAAAAGAATGAGTTCGTGTCCTTTGCAGGGACATAGATGACACTGGAAGCCATTATTCTCAGCAAACTAACACAGGAACAGAAATCCAAACACCACATGTTCTCACTCATGAGTGGCAGTTGAACAATCAGAACACATGGACATAGGGAGGGGAACATCATGCACTGGGACCTGTCGGGGGGTGGGGGGCAAAGGGAGGGAGAGCATTAGGACAAATACCTAATGCATGTGGGGCTTAAAACCTAGATGATGGGTTGATAGGTGCAGCAAACCACCATGGCACATGTATACTTATGTAACAAACCTGCCTGTTCTGCACATGTATCCCAAACTTAAAGTAAAATAGAAAAAAAAAAATGAAAGACTCCACTTAAACTCATCAGGAAATGAGCTGGGCACAGTGACTCATATCTGTAGTCCAGTCAGTTTGGGCAGCTGAGGCAGGAGGACCACTGGAGCCCAGGAGTTTGAGACCAGCTTGGGCAACATAGGGAGACCCTGTCTCTACAAAACACTAAAAGTTTAGCTGACAGGGGTGGCGCTTTCCAGCTACTCTGGAGGTGGAGGTGGGAGGGTTGCTTGAGCCTGGGAGTTCAAGGCAGCAGTGAGCCATGATTGTGCCACTGCATTCCAGCTGGGTGACAGAGAGAGAGATCCTGTCTCAAAATGAAAATAAAAGTAAAGTAATCAGGGAATGAAAGCACCATTCCCTCTTGCTTTCTGCCCTTGTCTTTCTCCCTGCCCTTTCACCTTTGTAAAGTGGTGGCAGTAGTTTAAGCCAATAGATCACCTATAGGGCCTGGGCCATTGTGTTATCTTCTCTATGAAATGTTCTTTCCCTTCATTCATCACCTGCCATCAAGCCTGGGTGTTCTTTCTCCAGTGCACCGCCATATTGGAGAGGGCCTGCACTTTATTGTTTATCTGGCCAGGGGGCCAGGCTTCTTACTGCCTCTGTCACTTCTTAGATCCCGAAGTGAACTCAGCAAATTCTCCGAGCCTTGGTTTCCTCAGGCCATGCTCCTGCCTCAGCCTCCCGAGTAGCTGGGACTACAGGCACCTGCCACCACGACCAGCTAATTTTTTGTATTTTTAGTAGAGACTGGGTTTCACTGTTTTAGCCAGGAGCAATTTATTTTCTAGAACTGTGTCACATGGACACCTTGAGCTGCAAGAGAGGCTGAGGAAGTGAGCACCTGGTCAGAGGATGGGATTACCTTGATAGATTTCTACCAATCAAAATTCAGGGCATAGAGCTGGGCATGATGCCACCTGAAAGACACTTGGTGTTCTTTGAGCAAGGCAGGTGACCAACTGAGTCGCTCTACATAAGCAGCTGAGACTAACACAGTTGGAATGCAAAACAGACATCATTTCATAAATGATCAAAAGGAAGTTTGAGACTTGCTCAAATTTGTATAGAGAGGTACAAGATGAGGCTCCAACCCCAAATCCCTTGGTCTACAACACTGGTGATTTTCCCACTGAGTGCCTCAGAGTTTCTACAAAATTTGTATCAGAATATTATTTTAAACATGTGTTTAAAAATGTGGTTAAAAATATGGTACTCATGTAATTTTCTCATAAATTGGAATTTGACAAAATGCAATCCCTAGTATAAAACTGTGTTAGTCTGTGCTGTCAGTTGGCTTGGTTTTTGCTGTTGTTGCTTTTCCAACTTGAAGAAAAGAGTCTCCTGCCATCTCTATTGAATCATGAAGTCTCCTGGGATTGCTAGGAAGGATATTAAAAATGATTCATAACCGTTTATCCATATTAATTTGGATTTTCTCAATACCAGACAACCACTACAAAATAATCAATTGGGTGTTGACAGTGATATAAGACTGCAGCAGCTCCAAGCAAATTTGAAATAATCTCTAATTTGAAATTGTCATGTGTATCTGAACAGCTGCATTATTCTAACTGACTGACTTAATATCTCTGTGGGCCCTGCTACCTCTCCAGCCGCACGCGCTGGCTCTCGCTGCCCCAGAAGCCTCTGCTGAACGGTGAGAACACCTTTTTTGCCTCAGGAATTTTTGTACATGCTATTCCCTCTAGCAAACATTCCTCCTTTAGATAGATTCAGCTCATTCTTGATATCCCAGTTAAAAGGTAATTCCTTCTCTGACCTCTCAGATTAGGCTAGTGCCCTGGGTTTCACACTCCCTTTTGTACACTGGAGATTTTATAATTATTTCATCCATTGCTGTCATTCCATCTGAGCTAAAGACTGTCTAAGGGCAGCAATCATGGATGCCCCCCTCACTATAGCCCTCAGCTTCTAGTACCATGGAAAGCCCATGAAAGTAATCAATTATGTTTGAAGAAATAAATGTAACATGAAAAAATAAATTTGGATTTAGATGTAATATTGGCAAAGAGTAGATATGAAGGATGTAAAATTTCTGATAGTAAAGAAAAACATTTAATTGAAGGATGACATACAGTGAAGTAAACAAGTGCACTAATTTTAAGTGTACAAAATCAATGCACCTTTCTGTATGCGTACATTTGGTTAAGCACCATCCTGATGAAATATAGAACACTTTTAGTGACTTTCCCCTATGGCATTCCCAGTCATACCCCTTCCCTACTTTCTCACTACCATAAGTAACCACTATTCCGATTCCATAACCATTGATTAGTTTTTGCCAGTCTTAAATTTCAAAGAAATAGAAATTATTCAGGATGTACTCTCTCATGTCTGGTTTCTTTCCTTCAACACAATAAGTTTGATCCATATTGTATGTACCAGTAGTTTATTTCTTTTTATTGTTTTACGGCACTCCAGTTATGAATATATAATAGCATAATGTATTCATTCTCTTATTGATGAATATTTGTTCTCTTCTTCCAGTTTTCAGCTGTAATAAAAAAAATACTACAATGAACACTCTTGGGCAGGTCTTTTCTGTTGGCACATGATTGTAAAAAGAGCTCTCTTTTATCCCAATCATCAAAAGGCAAAAATGAAACAAAATACACACAATCAACATACACTCTTATGATATTTAGGAGTAACCTGTCAATTCTCAACAAACCAAAAAGAAATCAGAATAGCATTAGATGTTTTTGAAGAAATGAAAGAACATCCTACTTGATGACTGAACCAGAACATAGATAGCATCCTGTTACAGATGGAAAAACTTGAAAATCTAGTGAAATGGAAAACTCAGTAGATATGGTGGTGTACCTAACAAAAACTTGTCCGCAGAAAGATACAAACAGAAGTGTTTACAGCAGTTTATTCAATTTTAGCCCTAATCTGGAAAAAAAAAAGACAAAATAACGCCAGAAATCCTTAAAATATTCTGAGCATTTCATTTATTTGGGGGAATATAGAAAGATTCAGCTATCTTATGAATGTACCCACAATTCTTAGGTTCCAATAATTGTCTGCATTTATATAGAGCTTTACAATGACAAATTTTCCATACATCACATAGGTAATGAGTGGGAGAACAGGAACTCAAATGGGGGACTTGTGAGGCTAACTTCTGTGTGTTTCCCTATCACATCCTGATTACACCTCATCAGGAAAAGCTACACTCAACATGATTACTTATAACAACGTGTATTTAATTTTTAATATTTTTAAAGCTGTGTCTTATACTTTGGAGGATTTTTCTAATTAGAAATAATTAGTTACATATGCATTCTGATCTACCCTTGTCAGTGGGTATCAAACTCTTCTATCTCATACCTTGTCAATCACCCTATCAAAGAGCTTGTACCCTATTGTGAGAGACACATTGGAGCTTCATCCTGACTGTCAATACACATTCTGTTATTACAGTTTTCATTCAGGGTAAATTCCACAAATTAAAAGAAAAAAAGTTTCTTCCTAGAAGACTTCTCAGAGCTTTTAAAATGGCAATGTGTCTGGTAACTGTATGAAGAGCTAGCTAGACTCTTCTGTACTTCCTAATGGTATCCCATTAAGAGTGCTTAGAAATTTCTCGAAAAAACAAAATTTGGGAAACTCCTTTCTAGACTTGTGCTTTCTTTGTTACCTTTTGAAAGCTTAACTTTCAACTATTCTCTCAATGCTTTGTTAATGGATGATGGAAATACCAGCAATAAATGATACTAATGGATGACAATGGACCCATGTATTGTACCCCTTTCCAGACAGAAGATTTGCCTCTTGACAGGAGTTATCAGGACTAAACTCTGACTAATGTTGTAAGCTTAGGCACTGTGCTGGTAGAAGAGAAGTATCTGATGTGGTGGGTTGGGGAGTTTAGGTAAGAGCCTGAGCTGCCTAAAAGTAGTCTGGCTTGGGGAGCCTTTCTAAATCCAAATAAATATGCTCAGTGAGAAAAATGGTGATAAACACTAACTTGACTCACTAAAAATATCAGTTCTGTTATGTCGTCTTGAGAGGCAGCACACAACATTTACCTTTTCATCTACCTTCACTATAAAAACCAACATTTTTAAGATCTATATCTTGATGGGCATACTCAGCAGGGAAAATTGCTTTCCACACAGCAAGTCTGTAAAAATCTTTTTTTTCTTTTCTTTTCTTTTTTTTTTTTGCTAAGCTTTTAGTCCAGATTGCTTGGCTGACAGAATTCATCTGCAAATAATTTTGTTTATTTT
Organism: Homo sapiens; assembly: GCF_000001405.40. NCBI lineage: Eukaryota > Metazoa > Chordata > Mammalia > Primates > Hominidae > Homo > Homo sapiens. The sequence goes on from NC_000007.14 coordinate 114,768,849, forward strand.
TACCAGCCATGAAAAATCACACTATAGTCTGCCTATCATTGGACGTTTGGAGTAATATCCATTTTGGTAAAACCTATTACTTTTTTGTTTTTTACTAACTTCTCCCCTCTACAATGGTGTGCAATGATTTATTCTATTTGTGTCAGCAAGAGCTGAACTGTGTGTTTTTAAAAAATTCCAATTTGGTTTAATTACATATGCTAATTCTATATTTGTATATATTTTAAGTGCATTCATTATTCCTTCCTTAATTTATACTAAAAATGATTTGTTATTCCAAATGCTTTTAATTCTAGATATAGTGGAAAAGGAAGAAAAATACTCAACCATTAAAAATTAAATAATTATTAATTTATTTTAAAAGATACACTAAAGTTTAACAATCTGGGCATTTGGATATAGAGTGATTTTTAAAATACATTTTCAATACACTTGTGTGTATCTTGATTTCTACAAAAAGAAGATATTGGATTGATCAAAAATATCAAAAATTGTCTAAAATATTTTATATTTGTAGTTATTTTGACATCTGTTCCACCTGTATAAGTTTTGATTTTGTAAAACGAAATATACTGAGAAAGATGAACCAGTGTATGTAAATTACATGAGGTTGGGGTTAGTTCTATCCTCCTGTTTTATGAGACTAATTATTTCACCCAGTGTGATTGGCACTATTAACAGCAAGTTTAACAGTCTGGACACAGACTGTTTAGGATTAAAGTCTGGTTCCTTCATTTATTGGCTCCCTAACTTTGAATCAGTTATTTAGTCTCTTTGGCTTTCAGTTTCCTCATCTATAAAATTAGGAACTGTCTCATATGGCTGCTCTGAGGATTCATTTAGGTTAATATGTGTGAAGCACTAAGAACACTTGCTCTACATAGTAAAAGTACATTATCTTGCCATCATCAGTTATCATCACTATCACCATCATCATCATCATCATCATCATCACGATGTAAAGAATGTAATAGAAAAACTGATCCAATTATGTGACTAGACAATTTACAGACTGGGAAACTTAAGAGGAAAAATGTGGAGAGATGTTAGTCTTTATTACTAATACTCAAAGTTATAAATACATAAGCAATTGCCATTTCTCGTGCATACAGTTGGTGATAATTTAAAACTCTGAGGTCAGAAAATTCCAGAAAACAGGAATTCTCATATACTATTGATGGGAGAATAAACTGGCGCAATCACTTTATGGTGTCCAATGAAACTGAAAATGCTCATAGTTTACAATCCAACAATTCAATTTCAAGGTATATTTCCACTAGAGAAAACTCATACATATCCACAAAAAATTATGTATAAGGATATTTATTACAGCCCTTTTTTTGAAGGAAAAAGGAAATAATTTATATGTCCATTAATAGGGACATAGATAAATAAATATATCTATATCATGGAATATATACAGCAATTAAGAGAAATGAGGTAATTGTTTATATTGCAACAAGGATCTGTCTCAAAATCAATGCTAAGTGTCAAAGAGAAGTTGCAAAACTATATTTATGTGTTTGTGTGTGTACATATAATAGTATAATATTGTATATGTGAATTAAAATCCTCAGAAAACTTTACTATATATTAATCATAAATCATTTTTAAAATTTAAAGTTTAATTTTACAATTAATTGAAAATATACAAACAAAATTTATGATAGTGGTTGTTTAGGAAAAGGGAGAATTGGAAACGGGAAGAAAAAAAGGACTCTAAATTTAGTCTCTTTATTGAAATGAAAAGGCTTGATATATCTATACAAGTAAGGTTAATATGTGACCTTTGGTGGTGAGCATCTCTGCATTCATTGTACTTACATGTGAATGTTTTCGAATTTTAAAAATTTCTCAAAACATGTATATGTAAACTAATGTTACTAAAGTAGGAACTCTACAAATGTCAATTGATTGCTAAGAAGGGCAAGAAATAAATTTCAATTATAGATTAATAAAGGACATTGACATACTCTACTTTGCGAGCTCCTCTAGGTCGAAATCATGCTTTATTTATTTATATTTATTTATTGAGATGGATCTCATTCTGTCACCCAGGCTTGAATGCAGTGATGCGATATCGGCTCACTGCAACCTTCGCCTCCCGGGTTCAAGCTATTCTTCTGCCTCGGCCTCCCGTGTAGCTGGGATTACAAACATGCACCACCACACCCAGCTAATTTTTGTATTTTTAGTAGAGACAGGGTTTCACCATACTGGCAAGGCTGGTCTCGAACTCCTGACCTCAGGTGATCCACCCACTTTGGCCTTCCAAAATGCTGGGATTACAGGTGTGAGCCACCTTGCCTGACCACTTTATTTATAATTATATCTGTAGTGCTCACCTCAGCACATGGCATATAGTAAGTGCTCCTCCATTAAAATATCCTGAATAATAATTTATCCAAGACATTAAAAAGTTCACTCTCCTTAGTTATTAAATGAAAAAAATAATATTAAAACATGAAAGAACAATGAGGTATTTTAAATATGTTAGCAAAAATTAAAAATAACAATATTCAACATTAATGGAGTATAGGAAAACAACTAAACTCACAAATTCCTGACAGCAATTTAAAAAGGAAAGCATTTTGGCAATAAAATCAGTAATTTCCCATTCTTGGAAATTTATCCTAAAGAAATAATCCGAAGATGATGAGAAGGACTATATACATATATATTTACTGCAGGGTTATTTATGGTAGAAAATGGAAATCAGTGCAAATGTCCACTAACCACAAATGTCTAATTCAATTGTGGTATATCAATGTGTTAGAATATTATGCAGCTAATAAGACAATAATGATGAGGGCATGGTGACAATCTGGCTCATACCAATTTTTTGCTAGAATTTATTCATCTGGAAATTATAAATATATGAAGCAAAATTTATGAACTTATGCTAAGTGAAAAAAGTGGGAAAAAAAAGAATATATGTGGTCCTGATTAAACCTATGTAAAAGTTATGCATGTATATGCCCAAGATGAGAAGAGAAGGTTTGGAGAAAAGTATTTTTTTCTAATAGTTAAAAATCTATTTTATAGTGTTTTTAAAAAAGAAAAAAAAGAAAAGATATTCTATCTGTTGTTGGGATCAATTTCAAAGCATTTATTACACAATGACTACTGTAAAATCTAGTCATAACAAAATAATGATGCTCTTAGGTGACAACTCAGCATTTAATGTGGAAGATAAAAATGGGCAGAATAGCTCCTGGTTGTTATATTTATTTCGAAAAAAAATATGCCAACAAATCTTAGAAAGAAAAGTGTAGATAATTCCTCTATAATTAGATTAAGGCCTCGATATATCACAGAAATTTTAAATTGGCAATTTTAGCTGTTACCTATGCTTTCAGTGTAAATATTTGGTCGCATTTTTAGAAATGTGGAATTTAGGAATTTTATGAAAAATTTCCTACGTGGAATACCTCTCTTCATAGTAGTTTAATTTGTTCATTGAATTCTACAGAATAAAAGCATTTCTCACAAAGACCTGCTGTAATGAAATACCAAAAGTTTGGGATACATTAGCCAGTAGGACCAGAGAAAGCCATGTGTATGTGTGTGTGTGTGTGTGTGTGTGTGTGTGTGTGTGTCTGTGTGTATGTGTGTGTGTGTATGAATAAAAATGATTCTTTTGGCATGAATATGACAAATATGAAAATAATATTAAATTACATATGGAAAATGTTCTTATTAATGTATTGTTTGAGATTAGTAGAGAATTTTCATCTAGTATTAACCAAAGCAGAGAAATAAGAGAGAAAATGTATACTTTATACTTTAAATCTAAGAAATAGAGAGACCAATTGAGATTTTCAGAGGCTGTCATGCCTGGATGCTGTGTGTCATTTATACATTACCTGGGAGAGCACTGTGCGGCTGCATATTCTCAGCTGTTGAATGTGTTCTGCTCATTTTCCAGCAGAGAGGATGAGTTTAATGTTTTCTTGGCAATGTGTACTTTTTCACTTTTGCTGTTTCTGTTTGTCTGTCTACGTGCTTATTTATTGTTTGCATTTAGCTTGCCCTGCAAGTGGTTCTGAGAATTGTAAGGTGAATGGATAATACTTACAGAATAAATCTCTCTTTCTTCAGTTTTTATTCTGGGGTTTTTGGGGGATTCATTCTTTTCTTGAACTTGAAATTGTCTTTTTAAAAATTTTTTCTTTTTAAATTTTTTTTATTATACTTTAAGTTCTGGGGTACATGTGTACAACATGCAGGTTTGTTAGTTACATAGGTATACTTGTGCCATGTTGGTTTGCTGCACCCATCAGCTCGTCATTTACATTAGGCTTTTCTCCTAATGCTATCCCTCCCCCAACCCCTCATATAGGTTTCTTTTTTAGGTTTATGAACCTACTCTTAGACCCCAAATTTCTTCCCAAAGAAGTGAAATTCTAATGAATAACTCTGTCCATCACATTAAAAAATAACTCCTTTTCTTTATTTAAAAGATGATGCTAGTTTCAAGGTGTTGGGTAAATCGTGAAAGCTCTTTTCAGATGCATTGGTAAAATAAGAGAATTGGTTAACATAAGCCCAGTGGTTCAATCAGAGTTCCATGATTTTCAAAAACCTTTTACTTCACTAGCTTTTTAGAGAATAACTGCACAGTTAGATTAAACTCTGGGGGATGATGCTTGGTGAATAAATAGTTAGGAAACAATTGGAAAAGAGACAGGGGAAACAATCATAGCCCTGGCTACATCAATAGCCACAAACCATGTTAATGATTTTGGAGGGAAGCTCAGCAAAATGCTAATTTATTTAATAAATATTTAATAGTGTATGATTTCAATAAATAAATTAGTGTTTACACAGTAAAGAGTACAAATGTTTTGTGCATACATTCTTGACCCACTTCCATAGTTCTTCTTGTATATTTCCCAAATAATTATTTTTAAAAATGGACATCACAATATTTCTGCTCATAGCAGCTTATGATTGGTAGTTAAATCTATAAAATAATCCAATCGTTTATCCCTCTTATCTTGAGAATGTTTAATCAACTTTGATATTTGCTTTAAATTAGCACTGTCAAATGTACATTTGTATAAAATCTCCCAAATCATGAAAGATTTATAATTTGAAATGTATTTGGATTTTTCTCCAGTTAATCAGGTGGATAAAAATTAGGAGTACTGTAACTAGAACAATTAATTGAGTTGAGCTGAGTGTTATGAAAAATGAAAAAAATTTCATGGCGTGTTTTGGTTACATAAATGAAACTAAGCGCCTGTTCACTAACACAGAATTGGCGTGATGAGAGCTGCCTGTGTCCTTTTCAGGAGCCCAGGTTAATAATTGAAACATAGATCAGAAGAAGAGGGGTCAGGAGGTGCATTCTTGATATTAAGTCTATTGCTGGCCCTTTATGGGCTTGTGTAGGTTAATTAACTCTGGAAAGACTCAGTTGCCACTCCTGAGAAGTATAATGAAAAACAGTCACTTGCCATTCATTTCAGCAACTAGGTATGAATGCTGATGACAGTGGTGTGCAGTAGATGTAGCAAAGCCCTAGCTGCTGGGGGATGGAGACAGGCAGGGGAAAGCATGGTGCCAAAGTAGCACAAAGAGAGATGTGCTCCATAACACTGACATGCCTACCACTTGTTTGGGAAGTACAGGAGACCTAGTTGATTCTGCGCTCATCCCCCTCCTCCTTCCTGAAAGAACTCTCATTGAGAATAGAAAGATGATTACCAGAGGCTAGGAGGGGTAGTGGGGGTTGGGGAAGGGAGGTGGGGATGGTTAATGGGCACAAAAAATTGAATGAATGAATAAAGTCTAGTATTCGACAGCACAACAAGGTGACTATAGTCAATAGTAATTTAGTTGTACACTTAAAAGTCCTAAAATAATATAATTGGATTGTTTGTAACACAAAGGATAAGTGCTTGAGGGGATGAATATGCCATCTTCCATGATCTGATTATTATGCGTTGCATGCCTATATAAAAGTATCTCTTGTATTCCATAAATATATACACCTACTAGGTACCCACTAACATTTAAAAAAATAAAATAAAATAAAAGAGCTCTCCTTGGTTCCGGCATCCACGCTCCTCCTTGCAGTCATGCTTTTCAGGGGAGGCATGAAGGTTGTCTGGTCCCTGGAGCCTTCTCTGTTTCCTTGATTCATTGAGGACTGGGCACACAAAGCAATTGGGATCAAAGAAGCACAAGGCCAGGTTGACGTGAAGGTGGTGGGTGGGAGTGAGGGTAGAGCTGGTGTTTCTGGCAGCAGATTTCCTCAATCTTAAAGAAACACTAGAAAGAGAAAGTCCATTTACTGCCTTTACTGCCCCTGGTCATTGACCTGGAGATATTAATCCCTGCCTTGGGCAGTTTGCATTTTAAGAGGCCAAGAGGCTAAAGATGGTGAAGCAGAAAGGTAGCTTAAACTGGACCTCAGAGGAAGGATGGATTTGCAAAAACAGTGGAGAGGCAAGAGCATTTCAAGAGATGGTTAAGAGCATAGATGGCTGCGCCCCATGCAAAAAAAAAAAAAAAAAAAAAAAAAAAGGTGGCTGATTTGTTAATTGAGCAATGCTGAGATACTAAGGCTAGAACTTAAAAAAAAAAGTCATAGAAAAAAAAGCATTTTGATAGATGAGGAAAATTCACTGGTTCCTCACCCAGTCATTTCTCTGCCCAGCAGGGTGGTGCCAGGCAGGATGCTTGGGCTTCCTACTGGCTTTAAGGCACAGGTGAATATTCTGGCTTCTTACTTCAGATGAAAAATAGTGAAAGCCAGGCTGAAAGGAGTGCTGGCCCCAGGCAGGCAGCTTAATTGACCTTTTCCTTTCATATTCTGGTCCCCAGAAGTATAGCCCTCTGTCCTGCTGGTAATGATGTAGTAGACGGGCAAAAGGGCTTCTGGGAATTTTATTCCTGAAAAAAGTGGATCTGATACTGCTTGTGTTTTTCATTAGTGTTCACTTCTAAGTGGGCCTTCTCTCTGCTCTCTTCACTTAGCTGCCTTAGCTTGCCATTTGAGCAATTGGTGAGGATGTGCCAGGCTTAGGTTAAATTCGAAAACGTGCTTGTATTCCCTGGTTCGTTCCCATTGGTTTTCTTGCAATTTTGGCTCAGGGGACTCTCAAACATAGCTGGGAAATTGAGTTAGGAGTATAACCATGCCTTAAAATGCGCCAAGTTATGATGTAATTAATTAGGTTGGTTGGCTCCAGAGTTAACCTGCCAGGAATAGATGCTATAGATGTTACTCTTACACTATAAAACACTGTGAAATCAGATTACTTTAAAATGACGTAGCACCAAGTCATGGTAAAAAGCAGTTGCGAGTATGGAGGCCCAGGTCTTCTATCCCAGCTCTGTCTTAAACTAAATGTGGGTATAGTTTTCCAACTCTTTTGTAAAATGGAGCTAATATCCTCTAGCCTGTCTGCCTCACACGGTGGTTAAAAGGATTAAGCAAAATAACAGTTTGTAATGTATAATTCTACACAAATAAGAGGTGTTATTTAAAAAGGAGTCTTAATACCTCTACACATTGTAAACTTAACGGGATTGTGCAAGAGCATCATCCTGATTAATTTCATCTCAACATGGTCTTTTCGAAAAGATTTTTGTGAAATTATGGATGGATTTTCTCTTCTTTATCTCATGCTGGAGCATGTGTTGATCTGTACACCATGTAAAAGAGAGAAACTAACCCACTATATAAGAAACAAAGTATATGAGATTTATTCATTTATTTTTGAGACAGGATCTCACTCTGTTGCCTAGGCTGGAGTGCAGTGGCACGATCATGGCTCACTGCAGTCTAGGCTCAAGCAGTCCTCACACCTCAGTCTCCCAGGTAGTTGGAACCACAGGTATGTGACACTATACCCAGCTAATTTGAAGAATTTCTTTCTGTAGAGATGAGGTCTTACTATGTTGCCCAGGCTGGTCCCAAACTTCTGAGTTTGAGCAATCTTCCCACCTCAGCCTCCCAAAGGGTTGGGATTAATGAAATATTTTAAATTATTTCACTTTTTTGAATCTCAAAGTATGAAATATGCTTTGTAAAGCAGCCATACCACATAGAAAAAATATAATTAAAATTAAAATTGAAATCAAGTCTCACTAAGAGGAATCAAAGCTAACTATACTTGAAAGTTTTTTGTATGCTCATTCAGTAGCAACTCTGGCTTCAATGATCCAAGTACCTGTAAGACATGTGCAATCTACAATTCTTTTTGAAAGGGAATAAACTCTTGAATGTATTATATGAAAATATATGAATGCTAAGTGTTATTAAACACACAAGATATTACCAAGATTATTTTGTAGCTGACATAAATCATATAGTATTTAATAAAATCTAGAAAGCCATTGACTATTAAAGGCAGAATTTTTATTTTTAAACTAGCTATTGTATTTGTTTTCATTGCTGTACATTAGTTGTATAAATATAATGGAATTTTTTATCCATTCTGATATTGTCTAATTATCTTACTTTCAATTTTTGGCTATTTTGTATCATATTTCTTGGAATATGATTTTATACATCTTTGCACATGAATATATATTTCTGTTGAGTATTTGGAGTGAGATTGAATGCTCCAGTTTAAGTAGGGGCTGCTGAACAATTTTCCAAGGTGACTGTACCAATGTACTTTCCCACCAGCAATATATGAAAGCTCCATTTGTCTTTTATATTCTAGATATGAGTCTTTTGTTAAATATTGGTATCACATGTAACTTCTCCCGCTTTGTGGCTTGTGTTTGTCTTCTGATAGTTTCTTTTGATAAGTCAAAATTCTTAATTTTAATACTGTCTAGTTTATCATTTTTCTGTTTTATGATTAGTATTTTTTAATGTGTGTGCAGTTTAAGAAGGTTTTGCTCCTCAAGTTCAGAAGGATAAACTCTTTGTTATCTTCCAGAAATTTCATTGTTCTACTTTTCATATTTAGAGTTTAAAAAATCAATTGTTATTTATTTTTAGGTATGATATGAGCTAGGAAAGAATCAAGGTTAATTTCTTTCTCCAGGTGGATATCCAAATGACCCAGTACCATTATCAAATACACTATTCTTTCTTTTGGTGGAGGCTATATTCTGTTCAATGACCAATTTGTCTAAGTATGTAATTTTAGCATACTACTTATATTATTGCAGCTAGATAAACTTTCATTTTTGGTATTATGAGGCCTCCAACTTTATCATATTTGTGTTATTCAGAATTGTGTTGGCTAATCTTTGCCCTCTCAGTTTCCATAAAAAATTTTAAAATTGTCTTAATGATACACAAAAAATTTGCTGGGATTTTTATTGTGTCAAGTTGAATCTTGTTTTTATTTTTATTTTTTGAGACAGAGTCTCACTCTGTTGCCTAGGCTGGAATGTGGCAGGATGATCTCTGCTCACTGAAACCTCCGCTTCTCAGTTTCAAGTGATTCTCCTGCCTCAGCCTCCCAAATAGCTGAGATTACAGGCATCTGCCACCATGTCTAGCTATTTTTTGTAGTTTTAGTAGAGAGAGGGTTTCATCATGTTAGCTAAGCTGGTCTCAAACTCCTGACCTTAAGTGATTCGCCTGCCTCAGCCTCCCAAAGTGCTGGGATTACAGGCATGAGCTATCGCGCCTGGCCAAAAATGGAAGTTTTTATAATTCTAAGTCTTCCAATATGAAAATTCATATGATTCCATTACATAAATATATTTCCTTTATTTTTGCTTGATAATGTTCTGTGGTTTTGTCTATAGATGTCTTGACATTTTTTGCTAGATTTATTCCTAGAAATCTGGTGTTTTTTGTTACTGTTTTAAATGGCATTACTTCTAAACTTTATAGTTTGTTGCTGGCATATAGAAATAGAATTGATTTTTCTAAAGGAAAGCTTTAAATAACAACTTATGATACTTGCAACAAAGTTTTTTTAGATGTCTTTTATCAGTTAAAGGAAGTTTCTGTTACTAGCTTTTAAAGTTCTTAAAATTTAGCTTTGTTTTTAATCACAAACAGGTGTTTATTTTTGTTGAAAGCTTAATTTTCTATAATTTGGGGCTCGAAAGTTGTATATTTTTAGCATAATTCCAACATGATCAGAGAACATACTATGCATTATTTCAATCTTCTGAAATTTATTGAACTTTTAAAAATTACTCAACATACTGTCAGTTTCGGTACTTGGAATATTTACAATTGAAAAGGATATCAATGTTGTCATTGTTATGGGCGGTGTTTGGTAAATACTACTTAGATCAATATGCTAATTCATTTGTTAATTGTGTACTTAATTCTTCCCTACACTTACTGAATTTTTTTGCCTACTTGTTTGATCAACTGGGATGTGTACTCAAACTCTGCTGAAAATTTTCTGGTAAAATGTAGTTTAGGTGTACAGAAAGTAACTAGGAAGCTTCAACTAGGTCTTCTAATTGAATTCTAAGCCATAAATTGTCAGGACCTTGCATCAGGTACTTATATATTAAAGTAGTAATTTGTTACCCATTTGGCTAGTGTTTCCTGTGTACAAGCTCCCTTGGTATGAAACCCTGAAAGGGAAGAGGGTTCAAACCTCCTTCCCACCCCCTACAAGGCCCCAAACCTTATAAAAAACATTTCTCAGTTGTCTAAAACATGTCACTCTCTACGGTATATTTCTTAATCAAATTCACATTAAAATAATCTTTAAAAAACTGACATTTTACAAAGTATTCATAATTGGTTTTGAAAGGGTAGATTATCAATACTTTGTATATGAAAATTTTAATTAAAATAAAAGCTACATTTTTGTAGACACATAGTTCTTCCATATTTTCAACATTGTTAACAAAAAGAGCCTTTGAAAATCCTGTATACTAACACAAGTTAACGTAAAGATCAACAGGTTAATAGAATGTCAGTCCAAGCTCATACATTTGCCAAAATATTTGTATTGTTCTCTGAGGTTTAATGGAGATCAAGATGTTCTGTTAGCATCAAACGGTATCACTTCAAAGTAGTGGCAGTTCTAATTATTTGAGTTTGTGTATCACTTCTATCTCAAAGAGTTAAAAGCTTTCAGCAGCTCTGTTGAATTTGGTGCCCATAATGGTACTTGCAAATAAATCTATATGAAGCAGCATGTTGACGACTTTCAATATTCCAGATGGCAATTCCTCGGAATGTCTTTGGGGATTTTTCCACACAGGAAGTTTCCAGAAGAAAGCACACCAAGAGATGGTGGGGCCGACTGGGAGAAGTGTCACAGTCGTTGATGTATGGGTGCACCGGGCAGTGTGTGTGCATCACAACCCAAACCTGTCAGCATTTCTTAAAAGGTGCTGTCAGCACAATCAGATGCTAGGTGCTGAATATGAGAAAAATGCAAATGGGAAGATTCAAGTTCACAAAATTTGGACACATGGATTAAAAAAATAAAACTGAATAAAAACATAAAGGAAGGAAAGCTAGCATGATGGTTGCTGAGAAAACACAGAAAGGTGAACCGAATTCAGAAGTTCATATTATGGTTAGATACCTCAATTATACAGATATTATCAGATGGCAGAGGAATCTGGCTTTATTTCTATTTCTTTTCTTCAGAAATGACGTTTTGGAGGGCCTTTCTCCCCTTGCTTAATGTAGGTTATGCTGATTATAGAAAACCTGGAAAATGGAGAAAAGTACAATGAAAATAAATTCAATGAAATTCCCAGAGGTAAGCACAGTTAATAGTTTGTACTACATACTGGCACTCTTTTCCACATAAATATATATGAATTTAAGTAGCCAATTCAATCACATTACACACAGAGGTACCAAATATAAGGCAATTTATTTCTCCTAACTGCTCTGATCCCTGTTTGGAGCCATCCTTGCTGCCTTGCTCCCACCTTGGGTAGCAAGAAAAGAAAAAAAGAATGAAAATGTTCAGTCTCAGATTTTCCATTCCCTGCCCTGCTCCTTCTCTGATTATCTTATTTAAAGTTATTTATGTACCCACTCCCTCATCCTACTTTATTTTTTCTTTTCTCATAGTTCTTATCAGTATCTAACAACCTCTACATTTTGTTTATTATTTTTTTCAACTTTTTTCTTACTCAACTAGAATGCAATTCAGATAGGAAAAGATATTTTTTAAAATTCTTTTTTTCATTGCTGTGTCCCCTAATACCAAGATCAATGCCCTTTGCAGAGCAGACCTTCAATTCATACTTGTTGAATACATGAATGAATGAAGTGCTGTGGTGGAGGTTCATCTTACACAAAAGAGGGGCTTTGACCCTCTGTTTTCTGGATCTTATGGTCATTTTCTGTTGAAATGGTGCTACACTTGTCAGCCTATGACCTTAGCCATTTGTCCTCATCTTGAAACTACAACTTCCGGTGCCCTCCTTTTCCTGCCCCAGCTCTGCCAGTGCTCTTTAAATCTCAGTCTGTCTATCTTTGGTCACTGGGGCAGGGAAACTTCTAGGTCCCCTACAAGCTGTCAGCAGGCCCTAGTGGAGATGACAGGAGGGGCCATAGCATTGCCTCAAGCTCATTTGATTCTCTTCCTCCCTAAGCCACCTTCAAACTCCCAATTCTATGTCATTTAGGTGATGGCATTAAACAGATAATTGCTATTTTTCTGTACTATTTCAATATGATTGTCATTGGCTACATGCATCTACTGAGCACTTGAAATGTGGCTAGTCTGAATTGCAGTGTGTTGTAAGTGTAAAATACATGTCAGATGGCAAAAACTATTTTTAAAATGTAAAACAGCTTAGCAGTCATTTTATGTTGATAATATGTTGAAATAATATTTTGGTTATACTGGATTAAATAAAATGGATAATTGATGTTAATTTCACCTGCTTCTTTTCACTTTTGCAGATGGCTACTAGAAAACATAAAATTACACTCATAGGTCGAATTTGGGACTTGCATCATTTTTCTATTGGCTGGCACTGTTCTAAGGCTCCCTCTACCCATCTTTGGGAAGGAGGAAACTGCACCCTGGCCCCTGACTTTATAATCTCTCCAGTGATGCCTCAGGACTGGTCAGGGTCACCTTTGGGCTTTCCCTCTGTATTAAGCTGTTCTTGCACTGCTTACCTGAGACTGGGTAATTTATAAAGAAATACCTGAGACTGGGTAATTTATGAAGAAAAGAGGTTTAGTTGGCTTACAGTTCTGCAGGTTGTACAGGAAGCATGATGCTGGCATCTGCTTGGCTTTTGGGGAGGCATCAGGAAACTTACAGACTTGGTGGAAAGGTGAAGGGGAAGCAGGCATGTCTTACATGGCAGGAGGAGGAGGAGGTGGGGAGGAGGTGCTGCACACTTTTAATCAACCTATCTCGTGAGAACCCTATCACGAGAACAGCACTAGATGGATGGTGCTAAACCATTAGAAACTGCCCCCATGATCCAATCATCTTCCACTAGGCCCCAGTTCCGGCACTTGGGAATAAAATTCAACGTGAGAGTTGTGTGGAGACACAGATCCAAACCGTATCATCCTCCTTCAGTTATCCTCCTCCTGCTCTCAGGGCAGCATGCTATGTGGCCAAAGGCTTTTCCTGGCAAAAGAATATCTTCTCTAAATTTATGTAAAATAATACTATGACTTAAGTGTTAAAGCTTGATCCTTAATATGCCAAAAGAGTGTAGAATATTCTTTTTCTTCCCACAAATCCTGGCTATACAGTTTTATTGTTTGCTAATAGTCAAACTTTTGCAGAAGGCTGGGCGTGGTGGCTCCTGCCTGTAATCCCAGCACTTTGGGAGGACGAGGCAGGTGGATCACTTGAAGTCAGGAGTTCGAGACCAGCTTGGCCAACATGGTGAAACCTTGTCTCTACTGAAAATACAAAAATTAGCCAGGCATGGTGGTTGGTGCCTGTAATCCCAGCTAATCAGGAGACTGAGGCAGGAGAATCACTTGAACCCAGAAGGTGGAAGTTGCAGTGAGCTGAGATCATGCCACTGCACTCCAGCCTGAAAGCCAGAGTGACTGTCTCAAAAAACAAAAACAAAAACAAAAACAAAAACGAAAAACACCCCAAGACTTTTGCAGTAATGTGAGTTGTCTTGCTATATCTAAAGCAACAAAATCTTATCCTACTTCAAGCAAGTAAGATAATGGCTTGTTGGCCACTTGTATGTCTTCTTTTGAAAAATTTATTCAGGTTTTTTCTCCCTTTTAAAATCAGGTCATTTGTTTTTTTGCTATTGAATTGTATGAATTCCTTACGTACTTCAGATATTAGCCCCCTATTGGATATCTGGTTTGCAAATATTTTATCCCATTTCATAGTTGCTGTATTAGTCCATTTTCATACTGCTATAAAGAACTGCCTGAGACTGGGTAATTTATAAAGGAAAGATGTTTAATTGACTCAAAGTTTAGCATGGCTGGAGAGGCCTCAGGACACTTACAATCATGGTGGAAGGCAAAGGCGAAGCAAACACCTTCTTCACAAGGTGGCAGGAAGGAGAAGTTCTGAGTGAAGGGGGAAAAGCCCCTTATGAAACCATCAGATCTCGTGAGAACTCACTGACTATCACACGAACAGCATGGATGAAACTGCATCCATGTTATGGAGATACCTGGTATCTCCATAACATGTGGGGATTATGCGGATTATAATTCAAGATGATATTTGGGTGAGGACACAAAGTCTATTGTTATCAGTTGCTTTCTGACTCTGTTGCTTGTTTTATTTGCAGCTTTCTGAGCAGAGGGACATGGAGAGAGGAGCATGAAGACGATAGGAACTGAGGACAAGTAGCCTTGAGTCATGTTCTTTCCGAGGCGGGTGTCACTTCACCTATGGTTTTGGCTGTCAATTCACCTATGAATGCTGACAGATTCCCCTTTCTTTACATCAAGTAAATACACAGAAAGTGATTTGAACAGAAAGTAGAATAGAGGTTTCCTGGGGCAGTGGGAAGTGAGGAATGGGGAGTTATCATTTAATAAGCATGGAGTTTCAGTTTGAGATCGTGAAAATGTTCTGGAAATGGATTGTGGTGGTGGTTTCACAACATTGTGAATGTACTTAATGCCACTGAACTGTACACTTGAAAAGGTAAGTTTTATGTTATATATGTACATTTTACCATGGTAAAAAATTATAAGTTCTAGGAAAATAAAAGTTAAAAATGTTGTTGTGACTTTAGACGGCAAATGCTTATGCGGTCAGAAACTTCGTAGCTGATCATCTGAATGGAATGGAAATCGCAAAGCAAAAATGTTACAGGAGGATATGATGCAGCAAATGCTTACAAGTCAATATAGAGGAACTGACAGGGAGCAAGTGCCACCCATTTGCAACCCTGTAAGAGTCCAAGCTGAAATGACCAGAGGAAACCCTTCTTACCAAAAGTATTTAAGGAAATAATTTACAATTGATTAAATATTGACTGAGAAAAATAAATGCACTTTGGCAAGAGGTGGTACCTGTAACACTCCAGTGTATGACCCTTATTGTTGAAAGAATACATGGAAACTTTTTGCTAACAGCAGTGCTGGTTGTCTCTGCAACAAAAGTAGTTTCGTGACACAACTTGCATGAGGTCAGGTATTGGAAACAATGAATCTGTGAGTTTTCTTTGGTGTTTGGCCCAGATCTCACACTCTATGTAGTGTTAGCACTTCTAGCTCCTGTCACACGTTAAGGCATAAATGAGTTAAGTGTAATTTGACAACAATTCAGAAGCGAGTGGCTTCTCTACAAACGTCTAATTATTAAATTTCTATCCCCAAAGTATAATTATTAATGTATGCACCCAAAATGCCTCAATCAGTGAAAAATATTGATAATGCAATGTGAACATACAAAATAAGGAGAAATACTAAGATTACCTGGCAAAATTATTGACTGCAATGATTAAAACATATGGCAGAGAAATAGGATACTTTTTCTCAAAAAGAATTTTCATTCTGACAGCCCACACACCAGCCAATAACTCCTAACAGCTTTAGGAGACATGTCTTCGAGGAAAGTGAGAAGTTTTCCCTCTGTGGCTTTATCATGGATTCAATATCACTCTTAGCCAGAGGCTGCCCTGGCTTCATAACTACCAAACACTTGCAGAGACAACAGTGTCTCTCTAAATGAGCTTTAGAAGGTTGTCAAGGACAGGACTGCTTGGCAGAAAAATTCCTTGCTACAAGTGCCAACTTGCCCAAGTGCTTCAGGATGCCAGCTACCCAGACACATGGCCCTGAAATAGCTGGATGGAGATGGGAAAGCCTTATTTTTACCATTTCTGGGTGTTTGTCATTAGCATCTTCCCCTCTTCTTCTTTCTCCTTCCATTCCTTCTCTCCATCATCCTCATATAAGGCAGTGTCTGCTCCTGCTGTATATCTTCCTACCTCTCTTTCCCCCACAAGCACGGCAGTGGTCACACTAAGTGATTGCAACAATGGTGGCCACCTGGCATTTCCTGCTTCTGTTATTCCTACCTCCATAATAGTCTTCTCACCTAAGTTTCATGTCTCCTAGAATACCCTAGAGAGATAAAGACCAAAGTTGAATATGGAAATGTTGACCCCACAAAAGCCAATGATAAAATTGTCACTAGTGTCATGTTCAGAGTTGGCCTATGTGCCCATAGTGACACATCGTGTATTTCTGTGATACAGGATATTAAAGGCGTGGGTGTTAAGCTACTTCACTGCCTCCTCTCTTACAATGGGGTGTAATGCTGAAGGTTCTTTGGAAAAGTCCTTTTCATACTATCTCTTCTATGTTTAGTTGAGTAGCTATTTCTACCTTTATCAGCCATCCTCATAATTTTTGCCTGCTCTGTCAGTAAAAAGCAAGAATCCAAAATTATCTTGTTTGCTCTTCCTGAATGACTTTCAACCCCCTCCTTCTTGGTTACTATCCAAAATGTTAAACTCGTAAAACATAGGTCTTCTGATTCACAGCTGGATGTGTTTAACCCGTCCTAGAAGCCTGTGCTTTGAGCTTTTGAATTATTTAGACCTGCCAGAGAAGTCTGAATCTGTTTCATCTTCACCTTGTCTTTTATAATATATATTTTTTTATCTTACAGCGTTCCCATTAGTCCTCATGGGCATGCTTATGGGCTAATACAGCCCTCAAAATCACCTTCTGGCATTGAAAATTCTGCCTTGGGGCTTCTAAAGCACTGGTAAGTCTGCAGGGACCCCTCTCCTCCAGGCCAGTTGAGTCGATTCCCTGGATCTTTAGAGGAATAAGAAACACACCCTGACAGTAATTCCCTCCATTGGGTACACCAGTGCTACATTCTGGCAATTGAATGCTACATGTGGATTTTAGTTTATATTATTTAAAACATACACATCCATGCTATCAGAATGTCCTTCCTTTCACTGTCAGTGCAAAGGTGACATGCGGTAAGTTAAAAGGTGACCTGTGTTATAGGGATAAAATACAAATACCATTCAATACAATGCTGTAGGGATAGGGACATTGTTGTGTAGTGGCAACACGCTGGCGTACATACCCAAAACCTTGCCCCCAGGTGTGTGACCTCATTCCTTGCTGGATGATGAAAAACTTAATCTCAATATCAAATTCCTCCTATTCTTAGCATATTTTCTTAAGATATTCCTGAGACAACAGAATTTTTTCTGTGTTTTTTGATACAACTTTTTTTTTACTACTTTCACTTCGGCTTGCGATGGAAATATTTGATCATATAGAAACAGAAAAACTGTCCTTAGGAAGAAGGCACTCACTCGTGGCTTTATCAAATCTTTGAAGAAAGACACTCCCCAAGTGTAAAACACAACCAGAATCCCTTCTGCCGTTGCCACTGCTAGAGTCATACATGAGCCTCTGGATTGACCTGGCTCTGTAGGCAAAAGCTTACGCCCTCCCTCACACTCACGTCTGTCCTTGCAAGGCTGGGGACTTCTTAGTCAAACAGGGTGACCTGAAGACACAGGAAGACTGGCTCCAAGACTTATGTGCATGAGCACTTCTGCACAGTCCTCTGCTAGAACTTTCTATAATATGTTGGAGGAAGCCTAAATAAGTAAGCTGGGTGTCGCAGGTTAAAATGCTTACTGAACATTCAAGAAGTTGCCCTCGTATACTGGTAGGTGGGAATGAAAGTTTACAAAACAGTATGTGTAGCACAATTCCATTTTTATTTTAAAAATACAGAATAAAAAACAAGAAGTAGATATAGCAAAATGTTGATAACAGCTTCAACTGATCATTACATTTTTATTGTTTTATTTTTTGCTTATTTGTAATGTTCTAAATTTTATGAGTACCTTTTATTTCTTTGACTGGGTAATATGTTCACATTGGTAAAAAGTGAAAACAATTAAAAAATACATTTAGACATTAACAAACTTTGCTTCCTCTCTGTCCATCCTATTATCTCTGCTTTCTATTATGACTTAAAAATTGTCAACAGTTTTTCATATATCTTCCCTGTTTCTTTATAAAAGTAAATTTAAATATAAAATTATTTATGTATTTATTTTTTATTTTTTTGATTAGCCTTTTCCTCTGTCACCCAGCCTGGAGTGGAGTGGTGTGATCATAAGTCACTGAAGCCTCAGAATCCTGGGCTCAAGTGATCCAGTGATCTTCCTGCCTCAGCCTCTAGAGTAGCTGGGAACAGAGGCACAGGCTACCATGGCTGACTAACTAAAAAAATTTTTTTGTAGAGATGGGGTCTCATGTTGCCCAGGCTGGTCTCAAACTCCTGGCCTCAAGTGATCCTCCCTTCTTGGCCTCCCCAAGTGATATAAATTCTTATAATTCCCTTTCTTAAACAATAAGTAGCTTATTAATAGAAAACCCCTTGGCTTTTACTATTCTTCATAAATGCAAATAACCCCTGAATGTCAGTGATGGACAAAACACAATTTTCTTTCTCACTCACTTTGCATGTGGGCTGCAGCTCTGCTTTTGGCAGCAATAGGCTTCCTAGACCTTCTTTTTCTGGGACCCAGGCCAAAGGACTATCTGCTTTCTGGGACATGCTTCTTTCATGGTAGCTGGTGGAAATTAATGGTGTCACAGGAAGCTCAGACACAACCGACATTCCCCTACTCCATTGGCCACAGCATGTCACATGCCCAAGCCCAACACTAGGGATGTATGGTCTTATTGGAAATCAATGCTTTGTGTCATGTGTTTTTCTTTTAACAATATGTCCGGGAGGTCTATTTATTTGAATATAGAGAGGGCTTCTTCACTTTTTAAATACTTACTTGGGACTTCATTGTGTGGATATGCTGTAGCTTTTATATCCAGACTCTTATTTAATTATTATTATTTTGTTTTATTTTTTTGAGACAGGGTCTTGTTCTGTCACCCAGGTTGGAGTACAGTGGCATGATCATGGCTCACTGCAACCTCGACCTCCTGTACCTCAAGTGATCCTCCCAATTTAGCTTCCCGAGTACCTGGGACTATAGGCCTGTGCCACCACACCCTGCTATTTTTGTTTCCATATTTGTAGAGATGGGGTCTCACTTTGTTGCCCAGACTGGTCTTGAACACCTGAGCTCAAGTGATCCTCCTATGTTGGCCTCCCAAAGTGCTGGGATTACAGGCATGAGCCACTGTGCCTGGCCTCTAGCCCCTTATTAATGGAAACTTGGGCAGTCTCTAATCTTTTACTATGTAAAACAATTTTGAAATGAATAACCTTGTCTACATGTCATTTCATAGTGAGCATATATATAGTAGGATAAAGGCTAAGCTGTTCTATGAAAGAGATCCAGACATACAATGGCTTCACGTTTATTTTTCTCATGCAACAGTCTAAATAGGGAAGGGGGCATGTAGTTTGGTGGTGGCTTGTTTCTCATGCTCATCCAGGGACTTTAAACTCATTCCTCCCACTTTTCTCAAGGTCTTAATCTGCATGGTTGAAACTGGATCATGGACACAACCACATTTCAGGTCACAGGAAGGGAAACAGAGATCAAGAGGAAGAGCAGAAGTGCATATCCGACATGTTGAGGTCCAGACCTGGAATCAGCAAACATCTCATGTTCCAGTTACGTTCCATGCAGAGACTCAGGAGTATAGCTTCTATTATCTGCAACAGAGGATGGGAAATGCAGTCTCCAGTGGGGCAACCACATGCCAGTCACAGTTCCATCATCATCGCAGAAAGCAAGAAGGGCGTGTCACTAAGATGAATTCCTAGAAATAGAATAGCTGGGTCTAAAAATAAATGCACTTGTAATTTTTGGAAGATAGTACTAAATACTACTCCATTAGAGTTGAACCATTTTGTACTCCCATCAACAATGTATAAGAGTATTTATTTCTCTTATTTTCCCAGGTGTGACCAGAGAGTGTACCTCCAAACTCAGGGATTTTTGCCAGTTTTGATAAATAAAGAAGGTATCTGTTTAGTTTTTATTTCAATTTATCTTGCTTTGAATGAGATTGAGCATCATTTTATATGTTTAAGGTTCACTTGCATTTCTTTTTTCTAGGAATTTCCTCTTTTGGTCCTTTGCCCATTTTTCTATTCAATTGTTAGTCATCTGCCTGTGATATGAGTTGCAAATATTTTCCCCCCAGCATGTCGCTTGTCCTTTGACTTTGCATATTATTGTGTGTGTGTATTTTCTTTTTATCATAACTTGAAAGTTCATTTCCTCCTCTGCTCCGTTGTCTAAAGATAATTTTGATGATCACAACTGGGTACAACTTATTAGTATCTAGTGGATAGAGGCCAGAAATGCCACTAAATATGCTACAATGCACAGGAAAGCATCTTACAACAAGGAATTATCCAGCCAAACATGTCAGCAGTGCTGAGGTTGAGAAACCCAGGTGTAAAGGAACCAGCCCATGTTTTTTCTAACAATTTAGAACATTTCATATTTTACATTGAAATTTTTGACCTAGTTAAAATTTGTCCTGTTCAACAGTATAAAGTATGTATCCAGTGTTATATTTTTTCAGATGAGTACCTAGTTGTACTAACATCAATTATTACCCCATGTACTAATTATCTATTGCTGTGTAATAAAATTCCTCCAAATCTTAGCAGCCTAAAACACACACATTTATGATGTCACACAGTTTCTGAAGGTCAGAATCTGAGAGTGGCTTTTCTGGGTGGTTCTGGCTCAGCCTTGCTCGTAAAGTTCCAATTATGCTATTGGCCAGGAACGCAGCCATCTGGAGGCTCAGTGATGGGCTACCAAGATCATCCCCATGGTTCTTACCAGGCTTTAGTTTCTTATTGGCTGTTGGCTGGAGGCCTCTGTTGCTTACTTTGTGGGCCTCTCAGTAGGTGCCTAAGTGTCTTCATGATATAGCATCTGGCTTCTGCCAAAGCAAGTGATCTAAGCCAAAAAGAGAACCCACAAAGACAAAAGCTGGGGTGTTTTTAATGGCATAATTTCAGAAGGGACATACTATTGCTTCCGCAACATCTTACTCACTAGAAGTGAGTCACTAAGTCCAGTCCTCACCCAAGGGCAGGAGAATCAACCTCTAGCTCTTGAAAGGAGAAATACCAAAGAATTTGTGAACATATTTTAAAACTATCTTGCCCTACTTAGTTGTGATGTCTCCTTTATCATATATTAAATTCCCATATGGATTGGGCTAATTTCTATAATTAATGTGCATTGCTTCTAACAAGTTTTTACAAGGTAATTTAAAAAATTGTGCCTCTGTTTATGATTTGTGTTGAGGGACTTTTTCACATTCATGAACTATCCTATGTGCTTCTGCTAGCCTGGTGGATCAAATGAAATTATGGATATGAAAGTGCTTTGTAAATTCTAAAGAAATGCTGTAATGGAAGGTTTTATGATTATTATTACTGTGTGATTATATATCCAAAAATTTCTGTATTTTAGTTCCAGTTTGATTTGATGAAATTGGTTCTTGGATCCAAGTTGGAATGCAAGTTGGGAGCCAGTTGTGGAATTTTCCATCATAACATTTCCTGTGGATACAAAGTGAACTGAAACCCAACCCAGGAAACAAGCATAAAATGTGCCAACGAGTTTAGATTCACTAAATTTTATCTGCCACTCCTGAGGAAGGTCTATTTATCTGTCATGTTGTTATTTGGACAATCAAAGTTATTGCAGGTGTGTATAAATATGTGTCTCTGTGTTTGGTTGTGAACAGGAATGTGTGGCCCTCACATGATGGAGCACCAGCAGGAGTTGCTAGAGGTATATTGTGTGATATGAGAGGTGCTGGACTGCCCTGATCTCTCCTCTAACGTTCTGCCTGTAGAGTCCTTCCTAGAGTCCCTTGTTGGGTTCTTACAGAAATTTTTCTAATTGCAGAGATCTCTTTAGATGTAAATAATTCTGAGACAGGTAATACTTCATTCCTACTGATGACTGTAGTCCAGTTGAGAGCATGGGAAAGGATAAAAGAAACGATGGGAACTTAGAGATGGGCAAGGAAACAGGAAAGGAGGAAACAGAGGTTAAGATGTGAAGACAAACTGTGTCTATAATAGACATTCAACACAAATATTAATGCATTTGAATTTTTACAATAGAAATTTCCATTTGACAGTCCATATGTTGGACCCAACACACAGGCATGTTTTGTTTGACCAGAAATATGTTTAAATATTTACAGATTTCCTTAAGAATTGCTGGATTTTCTTGAAAGAACAAGAAAGAAGCTTGAAACAGTGGGCCTGCATGATAACAATGAGGAGAGCTATGTAATGCCTGCAACCTTTAGATGTGGTACAGACCCTTCAGTTCACTAGAGTCTCACCAGTCCTTTGTTCCTCATCATCACGGAGGTTACATATTAGCTACCACTTAGCCTCTTGCTTTCACTGTTGTCATTCATCCTAATAAAAATGGGAGAGGAAAGACAGATTGGAGGGACCACATAATTTAAGGAATTGAACAGCAGGCTGTAGGGTGGGCCACTTACCTTGTGGGCACTTGAATGTGCTCTCCCTAAGTTAGATAGCGCTGAAGTCTGAAGCATCATTAGAGCCCTCTGTCAGTAATGTGCCTATGTGTCCCTACTTTGTCATCATATGCTCTTAAATACTGCGGCAGCCACTTTAGTGTCTAATAGCCTGGGTAGCCTTCCCCTAGAATGCTTATCGGGCTGCACCTTGCTGCTATCAGGAAAACATGTGCTCGAGGTTGTGTTTAAATTGCAGTGACAGTTGCACTGGGTGATCCACATTCTCCATCACATTCTCCCTTGGTCTATTGCAGCTGACCTATCAAAAGATGCTGGCTTCAGATTACAGATAGAGGTTTTCTGTGTGCTGTTCTTGGCAGCAGATAGCAACAGGCGCTTCATCCATTTCAGATGCCATTATTGAAGCCTTTATGTCCACCACTTTACAGGTTTCCCATGCCAGTTCTAGCTTTTTGTTAAGGCTGCTTTGGGTGACATGAGTCAGGGAACTGCTTTTGTTAAGAACTTCTTCAGCAGAGCATGTCCAGGAAGGCATTTGCAGCACACCCCCCAGGATACTCAGAGGAGAGGTTGCCCTCTCTCCTGTCCTGCTCAGCTGCCAGGGAGGGACATAACTGTGTTCACCTTATAGAGTGAGTAATTACTCCCTGAGGGAGAGTAAAAGGGTCTTAGTCTCCTTATGTATACTCACTTCTTCAAGCTTTTTTCCCTGTCTGCCCAGAAGTTGACCCACCACTCCAGGGGTCTGGCAGGTCAAGATCTCTGTGTATGCTCAGTTTCTAAACTAAAGCACATTGTGCTATTTATGTGGCTTCTATATCCTGAGTAGAAGGTAGACATTGGAACAATAACAAAAAAAAAATCTTCAGTGAGCACAGGTCAAATATTCCTAACAGTTATTTGAACCACACATGACAGAGATGTCAGAGGCAGTTTTGCTGTGGACACAGATGTGTTTTGTTTTTTGTCCTTTATCCTACGCATGGGCTGGATGTCATGGCTCATATCTGTAATACTCAGCACTTTGGGAGGCTGAGCTGGGAGGATCCCTTGATCCCAGGAGTTTGGGACCAGCCTGGACAATATAGTGAGACCCTTGTCTCTACAAAAATAATAATAATAAAAAAATTGGCTGAGCATGGCGGTGCATGCTTGTGGTTCTAGCTACTCAGGAGCTGAGATGGGAGGATTGCTTGAGCCTGGGAGTTTGAAGCTGCAGTGAGCTATGAATGGGCCACCGCACTCCAGCCTGAGCAACAGAGCAAGACCCTGTCTTAAAAAATAAATAAATAAAATAAATCCTAAGCATCATCTAAGATTCAGCTACATGTAATAGTCAGATGTCATTAATACTCAATGCTCTATCTTTTGCTCCTGTATCTTTAGCACATGGCTTTCATTCATGTGTTTGTTGCTTTATGGTCACAAGAAGGCTGCTACATCTTCAGCCTTAACTCTGCATTCTGGGCAGGAAGAAAAAGTAAAAAGAAGAAGAAAGGGGGAGCATTTGTATTGGTAAAGCAAAAACTCTCCCAGAAATCCTCAACAGATTTTGCTTACATGTCATTGGCCATAACTATGTCACGTAGCCCTCCCTAGGAGTTAGAGAATCTGATAAATAGAATATTTTAACTAAGCACACTTCTGCCCTCCTTTCCCCTACCACCCACCTGTTCTGTGAGGAAGAAAGGAACAAGGGGAAATTGATAATAGGTAGTTTCATTATCTAACAGTGACAGTCAATTCTTATGAGTTTCAGTAAAGCATATAAACATATTTTGGAAATTACTTATTTTTTCATTTTCCTCTTCTCATAATTTCCTACTACCCAATGACTTACTGGAAAGAAAGGAGTGAGTGATTTGTGGATGTTATTTGAAAGGAAATTATTTCCGGTGCCCATGACAGTGGAGTAGGTCTAACAGCTAACTCTGAAACACAGGGATCTGACTGTCCTTGGAGCCCAATGGCAGCGTTTCTGCAAAAGGAAGTAGAGTGAGGCTGTGCAAACGTGGTTGTCTATCAGGCACGTTTCACTGCCTTAGAACAATTGTTTTTTTCTCTGTGCTAATTGTCCATTTTTGATTCCCCCAGACATTTCCCTTATGTTATCTGCAGATCAGTCAAAGGCTGAATTGTATTTTTTCCCTATTATTGATATTGGACTTTGGGACTATAGCCTGCTGCAATGTGCAAACACAAGTAAAGCAAATACATGAAAACATGAATAAATCCATTTAAAGTAAATTATGCTTATAATTACTTTCTTGCATATTCAGAATAGAATTTTTCATCTCAGGCAGCATGGAAACTTGTGACCATTTGTGATTATTGCCCATACCATTAATAGCAACAATAATAGCATTCGTTGAAGTCCTTCAATATGTCATAGTTCTGTAACAAACATGGCTGGAACCCTGGTGATGGGTGTCTACTCTAAAATAAATGGGCAGAAGAGACTTCAAAATTTCAAGGGGGAATAATAATTTATTTGTAAAAATCCCAAGTGCTGACTGAAATGTGTGCAACTAGGGCTCTTCCTTAGTTTTCCTGTGGGCCCTTGGATAGTTTCCTAAGGACCAGGTGTGTTCAATTAAGTCAAATAGCTAGTCAAACCCTTTGCAGGTCAGTCCCTAACTGAAATTAAGCCATCAATATGGCCAAGATGACTAGATATTTTGCCAAAGCCAGATGGTGAATGGAGAAATAAGATCTATGGGAAAGTGATGAGTAAGAAAGCAGAGGAAGAAAAATCAGAGATGTGAATTATCCAGCTTTCATTCAGCCCTGTGGATGGAAACCTTTCCATTTGTTGGTGACGTTTGGAAACTAGTTCGTTATGCTTGTGGGGCCACAGTGGAAAACTGGGAGCTCCCCTATAGCAGGGATTCTTACTCGTCTATGAATTCTGATGCGTAGCACAAGTAGCAAGTGCACATTGAAAGTTTGAATGAACGAATGAAAGAAAAGATAACTAAACTTTTGAATTATATTTGACTTTACTAATGACTATGTAAACACAACCAAAATTTGTACAGGATTGAAGAATAAATAAATGTGTTGGATTAGATGTTTTTTCAGTAAGGAATAGAGGGGACAATTGCAAGAGATGAAGGAGGAGCAGTATAAAAGTCATCCTGCATGACTTTGGGCAAGTAACTTAACGTTCTTGAGCCTCAGGTAGTACATACCTCATGGAAATACTGTGGAGATTAAATAAAATAACACATTTAAAGCATTTAGCACAATACCCAACACCTTGCTGTAACTTGTCACTTAACCTCAGACACTACTAGTTTAACTGTTTTTTATTCCTCTGGGGATTCTTGAAGAAATTCTGGACCAAGACCAAAGTGAGGAGTGTGATGATGGGAAGGCTTGTGGTTTGTAAGGCTTGCTGTTTTTCAAATATGGCTTCAAGAAGTGATTATAGACCTTCCTCAAAAGAGCAGTGCAGAAAAGAGAACTTATGCCCTCAAGCCAGGCAGACCCAGGCAACTCCAACTACAACTCTTGTGGGATAGAGATCCTTAATTGGGAAATTACAATGACACCAGGGAGTTTCAACAGAATTATCCAGGGCAATAAATCTTTAATAAAGAGGAAGCCCAGGGGAGAGGAGAAGGGACATATGAGGAAATTATCCCAGAGGGTGAGATTTAGATTCATGCTGGGGAGAAATGGGGAGCTTTGGCTGGTAAGAGAGGGAAGTGTGTTCAGGGAAGACCTTGACTTCCTCAATGAGAAGGAGAAATATCCTGTTCCATGACTGTGGGGAAGATATGAAAAAGAAAATAAATGTAGTTCAAACAACATGACATCTATAAGTGATGAAGTGCATTGCTTAAGGAGTTTAGCAAGAAAGACCATCCTTTCAGAGAGACTGGAATCATCATAGTCTTTCTGAGTCCTCATTGAATCAGCCCACAACCCTATGGCTGCCAGTTCCACGTCTGTAATATCTCAGTTCCCTGGCTACTTGGTTCTGGACTCCATCAACTCTGGAATGCATGCTTTTGATTCCATTTATATCATGATTCTAGTTTGTCTGCTCCAATTCACCTTCCACACAGTTGCCAGGGTATTTTTCAAAAACAAGAGCCTGAAGGTCTTATTTTCCTGTTAAAATGCTGGTCGGTGGCTTTTTAATGCTTTCCCCAAAGAGTTTACACTGACCACTACTAACAAGTCACATCCCAGCAACACCCATATGTGTGCACCTTCCTTCTCTTCTTTCTACCTTCCCTAAACATACACATAAACTTTTTTATCCTCTGCTCTCCCTCTACCCAGTGAATTCTACTCATCTTTCAGTCATTCCTCCAGATGTTTTTCTAATCCACTTACCCCCTCCTCATCTATAGCTGAGTTAGATGCCCCTCCTATGCTTACTTAAGCCTCTGTGCCTTTCTCATGTCACCAACCTACCCAGTTGTCTTTTTATCTATTCATATGTCCTTATTACTTATATGAGTGTGTGTGTGCCTAGAAGGTCTTGTTACTCCCATATAGATAGTTTTTGTTACTTGGTAAATGGTGGAAACATTTTTCTAGAATAAAAGGGCAAATAAATGGATGGCTCATGACTAACCAGAACAAATACTGAGCAATCAGCCTTCTGCTTGAGATCATTTTCTATGAAACTGAGCTTCTTGGGTCTGACCTTCATAGCTTCACTTGGGCTCCCCGGAAATCTCTCTTTCTAATTATTTACAGTATTAAGTCTTTTCAGTCATTCTGGATTTGATTTCCTTAATTTATCATTACTTCCAACCTTAGGTTATTTATTGGGTAGCCAAAAGGGCAAAGGGAAATTTTTATGCAGGTCATGCCTTCACCTGAATAAGAATTCTTGATGGCAATGAAGTCAGCTTCCTTCTAAAAAGATTAAGAGCCTTTTGTCTGGAGAGTTATTTAATAAAAAGTGAACATTCATACGTTGTCTTGCTGGCTTTTAAAGGTAATTAAAGGTGCAAGTGAGCTAACAGTGAAGGTTCTTCATTGACTGGAATGGTTGCTGTTCAGAAACATTCTAGAAGCTGACTAGTTAGAGAAGAAACTGTCCCAAAATCTCCCCAGCAAGTATCTCTGACATAACTAAGCAGCAAGCTCATAAATCAAACTTATCTCACATAGTCACCATGCTCATCAAAGTTCTGAAGGTTAGACATGTCAGTTCTTAATTTGGTTTTATTATTTTAACTTAGATTACATGTAGACTTTGGTTTGAGGATTAGGAATATGACTAAATCAGTATAACATTTTCAATAATGTGATAAAAATAAAAATATTTAGTATATAAAAATGCTTAGAGAAGATGTTTATTTTTAATTACTGTTACTGATTAAGAAACTATTGAATTTCAAAATTATTGATCTTAAGAGAGTGATAAAAGACATTGTTTTCTTGCTATTATCAGAATAATCTGTTATACTGCTGTCCCTATTCACCACTCAAGTGTTAAACCATAATTTCCAAACAGTTTCTGAATTGTAGTATACATTTTTGGAAACACAGTGTTGGTTTGCTCCCTTTCGTTTTCCCTCCTGACCACTCCCTGCTAATGTCTCCCCTTCTTTTAATCTCTGTCTAGAACTACACTAACATGGAGAAATGAACAAATGTTCTAGAACAGTTAAACAAATTTTTTTACTGTTAATTGTGCAAATGTATTTTTACTTGATGTTTCTTGCAATTGTCCCTCAATTGTGTACTTCTCACTGTGCATATTAGCAGAAACTGAGAATTTTCAATATTTGAAAAAGTGGCACATTTGGCTGCCACTTTCCGGGAATGTAAAAATCTACCATGCCTTTCAAGTATTCTGTATTGGGTATTATTCATTTACTTTTTAATTATTAGCATTTGTATCTTTTTTCTATCTTTAAATATTACTTAAATGTTCAAAGGAAATATTCCCTCACTGCCAATCTGAAGAGCTTCTTTTTGAAGACGGAAGTAGCATGGGGAGTCTTAGATATGCTGAATTGAACCAATCTAAACAGTTGGCGGTTGGTTGCTGTCGGAAGTAATTTTGAATCATACTATATTTGCTTTTCAAAAACAAGTGAAACAAGTGTCAGTAGCTCTTCTCTAAACAACGCTCATTTGGGTCTCCCAATATATCACTATCTCAAGATTTTTCATTTATCTTTAAATATTTCCTAATAGTAAATTTTGAGACCTCTGTGATGCAACATAACTGGGGACTGAGAGATACTTCACAATGTGAGAAGCACATGGACTAGATGACAAATGCTTTGGAGAAAAATTCTCATGAATCCAGATCATGCCAATTTCCAGTGGACCTGTGTCTTCAAAACCCAAATCATTCTACTTGCTAGTAATCAACTAGAAAGACCTTGTGGTTTTCTTGTTGAGTTTGGTAAGTTACCATAGTTCCCAAGCATTTTTTTATTCTTTTTAAATTACATATTAAAATAAAAGAGATGTACACTTTTATAGACACATAAATAACTTAGAGCAGCACAGGATGGCATGAAACACCTAAATCTTCACATGCCTTTTTTTTTTTTTGCAATTTTTCTTTAGGCTCAGAACTTAGCTTTCCATAATTGTGTTGGGACTCAACTTTATTTTAACTTCTCAAATAAAATGTATATGGTTGAAGAATAATGTGAAGCACTAGAAGGTTTTATTATAAATAGAAGTACAAGTGGATCTTTCCAAGTTAATTTTGCTTTACATTAAGTTCAGAGTCTCAGGAAATTGATCATGAAGGCCTATTGCAATTAAAGATTGGTTTGTTTTACAGTAACCAAAAGTCACAAGTTTCTACTAACTAACTAGCAAGCCATATTAAAAGAGTAGATCACCCCAGTGGTTCTTCTGGGAGACAATTCAACCACCAAGAAGCCAGTATTTTGATTTACACCTAAGTGATTTGGGATTAAATACAGGTTTTTACTATTGTGAAGAATGTCAAGTCTATAGTTCTAAATTAAAATGTGTTTATTTTAAAAATACAATGTATGTCAGTAAAAATGGGCCCAGCAGATTTGATAAGTACTGGGTAATTCCTTTCCTGGTGATATGTGACAATCATTAACAGGTCTTCTGAAATCTTTATGTGTTGATGAATTAGCCAATTTGCACTGGTAAGCCATGTCTGATCCAGTTATTTCAGCCACCTTAATAATCAATGCAGATCACTGCATGATCGATTCAGCAGCAGGGATGGGAATTAATCATAACGACAGTTTTCTAGACTATGGTCCAATGTAGTACCCACTAATAGAGGTGGGCTTATGCCAAGGATTATTTTCACAGGACTGTTTCTGAAGTTTCCCTCTTTGGTCTTCCTTTTGTTCGTTTAGCTAGAATGTCAGTTCAAGTTTTAAAACATCATAAACAACACTGTGTTTATGATATCATCCTTAGATGACACAACTGATTTGACCATTAGGATAGGAAATGCATTTTTTTAAAAAAAGACAGCCCAGACTAGATTAGATTTCTAATCTGAAAATTATAGCTTAGAAATTAAATCTTTTAAATGACTTGACAGACTTTTTTTCCACTTCTGGTTCTATTGAACAAATTGAGATGATAAACACCTGCTGGGTATGTATACACCCTTGTACACACTGTTTGATCATTTCTAAGTTCCACATATTTTTGATAAAGCATATACTTAAAATATGGGATTGATTATTTTCTGAAGATTTATTTCCCTTCAACTTTGTAGACTTTCTGATGTTAGTTTTGCTGGTGTATTTTTTTTACAGCTCTTCCTGCAATGCCTGCTCAATACTACTCCCAGTGAAATTTAAAATATATATATATTTTCATCTATGAGAAGTTATCAAATGTCTTCCCCCACATGCTGATAGTTCTTGCCTGAATCCTTGTATGGCAATGTACACTCTGTCATGTGACCTTTGTGCCCACTGACACGATAATCATTAAAAACAATTGGATTGTACTCCCTGCGAAGTTTGAGGCTGGGGACAGAAGCTTGTCAAGTATAAAAACATCTGTGAATACGATAACATCTATAGCTTAAAAATACTCATTCCTCAACGAACTTGAAGTAAATGACTAAAGTAAGTGAAACTGAGTCTATTTGACAAGTCTTCTGATATGATTAAAATATTGTGTGAAGAAAGGACTTGATGGAAAAATGTGATGTCAAAGCCTGTTTTTCAAAGTTTAAGTTTCATTCAACGCCAAATGAGCATGTGAAAATCCCCTGGAGAATACCCACTCTGAGGTCCATTCTAACCTGAAACTGTTTTTTAATTGGTACTTCTACCAAATCTAAGTTTAACAATAGGGCATGCATTGACTTTTCAGTATGATGCCCAGTCCATTTTATTCTGTGGTATAAATAGTTTACCATACTCTAGGAAATATATTTTGAATTTAACAAAGCTTTATGGAGTGTCCAGTTCATTCTGGCTACAACAGGACAAAATCCAACTGGGGATATTGCTCCTGGCAGGTTCTCTGCTGTCTTGCCTGATCTTGCTTTGTGAACCTTCCCCTATAGGTCCTTATATTAATGGGCCTCACTTTCCTTTAGAGATAGGAGTTTACACTAACAGTTAATTAATGTAACAGTGTTAAGTGTTTCTATGTGCAAAGCATTAAGCTAGGTGTTGTCATTTTTCCTCTCCTTACTCTTTCACAAAAATAATAAGAGCAATTTGGAGGATGTTATCAGTTCAGCCTGCTATAACTATACCTTAGACTGGGTAATTTATAAACAACAGTTATTTGTTGCTGAACTTTCTACAGGCTTGGAAGTCCAAGATCAATGTACCAGCAGATTCAGCGTCTAGTGAGGGCTTGCTCTCTGCTTCAGTGATATCACCTTCTTGCTTTGTCCTCACATGGCAGAAGGAGCAAGGTTGCTCCCTTGAACCACTTTTATAAGGACACTAATCCCATTCATGAAAGTGGAGCCCTCATGACTTACTCGCTTTCCCTAAATTCCTACCTCTTAATACTTTCATATTGGATATTAGGTTCCAACATATGCATTTTGGGGGACACCAACATTCAGACCATAGAAAAGGGCAAGAACACACTTAGGGGTCCCAAGCCCTGGTCTGTAGAGATTGAGCAATTTAGGTCAAAAATCTAAAGATACTTGAGCTCGAGAGCTGTGTCCTCAGGTGGTACATTTACCAGCCTCTCAATTATCTTTGCAAATAATTTTCCTGTTACTTGTTTGGCTTGTGGTCCAACTAATCATGAACTTAGTGAGTAGCAAACTCAAGAAGTAAGAAAAATATTCAATACATGTGGAATACTTAGCATGTGGCCAGAGGAAAATAATTTTTTCAAACATATTTCATTTTTTAGAAGCCCACCTGCCCAATCAACAGTCATTTCTCTAATATGAGCATTTAGATTGATCAAGTGAACTAAGGCCATTGTTAGACATACCAGTTGGTCTGATAATTTTTTTCACTGATTTGATGATGTAAGTTCTTTTAAAATGAAAGGTTTTTCACCAACTGAACAAAAGAGCAGCCATTTCTACCATTTACTCTCTGCTAAGCTTATTCTCCTCAGCATTCCAGGACCAGAACCACATGACCTTCCCACTTTGAGGATGCACCCATGGTTTCTACCTCCTGGGACCTCGCCATCGCCTTTTCTGTTAAATTAATATCTTTTATGGCTCAAGTTTCGCTATATTTAAAACTTTATTTCCTTTACTTCTGGGGGATCTTTCAGGACATGGGTTAAAGGTAAGTCTCTCACAAGAGGACTTACATTGCTTCGGCTAAGTGTCCTAGAATGCTATCAACTTGGGGATGATTTATGTTACTTCTTGGTTTGGGATTTACCAAGCTTGGCAGGAAGAATAAATTTGATCCTTAAATCTGAGTAAAGTTACAAATTCTCAGTGATGACTTTATCGGAAACCCAGGCCTAGATGAAAATATTTTTCATCTCCATTTGCCAATGGGAGGATTTTTTTTCTTAGTCCACAATTTCATTGACTGAATAGTCATCTGTAGGTCCCAATTCTATGTGAGGATCTCATGCCAGCTGTCTGGTCTACTTTCTGTGAAGACTGGCATTTTCCCATCCCTAGGAGGCTATTGGTGATCAGAACTGGCATGTGTCTTAAGGGCACCCATTGAGTCAGCTTCATTGTCTACTTTGGTTTGAAATCCTCTGTCATCACTGGATCCTGAGAATTTTCTTTAAGTTATTGCAAGCTCAGCTCTGCATTTAAAAGAATATTATTATATTGTATGCAGTATTTCTAGATGTTCTCTATCAGGAAGATTTGCAGGATATGTAGCCAGAAATAGAGGTTCGCAGGTGCTTAGAATATCTGCTGACTAAAGCTACTTGAGTCGATCTCCCCAGCCTAATAAACTGAAAAATGTAGAATTTGTGTGAAACAATTGTGTGTGCAATCATTTGGACTATTGTTAATTCTCACAAGGTAGTTTGATATTAGTTTTGTGTGTTTCAGTGAACTCTTTCCACTTAAATTATAATTTCTTCCAGTTCGTGGACTGCATCTGTTTTTTCTTCTGTATGTCCTGTTGTCCCTAGCACAGTGACAATACATAATACTTGTTTGATAAACCTTTATTGTTTGATTTAAGCCATAATCAGCTTCTTTTTTCATATGGGTTGGGAAAACCATTGTAGATGTTTCTTTTGCTATTCTCTCTTTTTATTTAAGCATTTTAATTTTTTCCTTCTAGTGGAAGGTATTGAACACTTATTATTCAATTATCTTTCATTCTACCCAGGACAGTCCTTTGCAAGCAATTAGTATGGACACTAAAGACCCAACCTAATCTTGTCACTTCCCTCTCATTATTTACCAGTATAACCCTGGACACTTCAGTGTTCTAAATTTTGGTTGTGTTTAGTCCAGTATAGTTATTTTAACCGCTGTGATATGATTTTTTAAAAAGGATATTTGAAGAGAAAGGTAAGATATTTGAAGAGAAAGATAGTTATTTGTGGAGAATAGAGAAATGCTTTTTGAAGAGAGCCAGTGCAAAGGCCTTATTTTATGTGCTAGTTAACCTACAAGAGCTTGGAAATTCTGAAACATGAGATGCGCACCATCAAATAGGGGATTTCTGAAATTATAGTTGTATGCTAATTACTCATTTTAGGCTGTGGTTTTTTTTAAGTAGTAAATGATCCTAAACCCTCTGTCTCAGTGAGGGGGAAAAAAGAAACTTCGAAGTTGGGGACTGTTAGTCACCAATATAGAAATTGCCACTTTTCTAAACCTGAATAGAAATGAATTCAATAAAAAGAGACATAATGACGGATTTATAAAAGTAACGTTCCTTCATATAATGGGTTTCTTATTCTAATATTTCTTTACTGTAATCCTTTAAAATTATGCAAAAAAATTTATTATTTAAGTGATAGTAAAGAATTCATTAAAAGATTAATAGTTCTGGTTTACCAATTCGCTTACTAGGTCACTTAATTATTTAGTTCATTAATTCTGTAAATGTCAGACTTACCATGAACTCTGGTGATTTGCATAAGTAAGGTTATAGTTCTACTGGTAATCACAGTCTAACAACTTCAAATAGGAATTTGGTATTATTTATACGTTTCAAATGAAATAGAGTATATTTTTTTCTTCCAAACCAACAAGGGAAATCCAAAAGCTGAGAAATCTTAACAATATAGTTTAGCCATTCACCCCCAACCTTGTCCATTAAAAGGACCATGGTGGGCAGCTGTAATGAAAAATCCTTCAAAGAACAGGACAGAAATAGCTTCCAGATTAAACAATGTGAAGGACTCTACTTTTGAGATATATGCTTTGCTTTTTAAAAATAGTCCTATCAATGAAAGAACTATGAAGTCTTCTAGGAAATCCATATTTTATTTTATTTATTAAAAATGGTTACTCACTGGGAAAGCTTCAAGAAAAGCAACATCTCATTACCATAAGGTCCTAGAGCAGAGCTGGCAATTCATATATAATGAATATCACTTACATCATGCTAATGCATTCACATCACTCACAGACACTGTTTACATTTAATACAAGTGAATCTATACAATATAAAATTGGCACATTATTAGAATTGACAATGGAATTAGTATAAATAGCCATCGGCTGTTATTTAAGCGTCACCAAAAGTCATTTGGACGGTGCAGGGAATACGTTTTCTTTCTATTTTTTTCCCTTTATGCATGTTAACATCTTAGCAAGTCTGAATAGAGACAATCTGCTGTTTATTGAATAGAACGAAGTGTATGGAACCTCTGTGCTCTGTAAGGGCACTTACAACGGGCAGGCACTTTCCTGGGGTGACATTCTTTTCCTAAGTCCCCTGAGAGAGGTGCAACTATTCATCTTAGGCATACTTCTCAGCAATCCATAGTCCATTGGTTCCCTCTTGACAGCATGTATCTGTGCTCACAGTTCTAGATTCACTCATGTTTGTGAAGAAGGTATTGATAAAACAGAGAAAGAGGCAGTGTAAGGAATAAAGAAAGAAAAGAGAAAAATCAGGTTCTCTTGGGACATTATTTTAAATTATAGGCTGAGAACAAAAAGAGTTCTGGCACATTCACAAAGATGGTTATAAAATTACGCTGAGTTCCTACAGATCCATGAGAAAGGATCAGAGACTAGGAGTCTCTATATCTATCTTGCTATCTATCTAGATGGATATCACATATCTATCATGATCTTGGTATGTATGTTTATGGAGGTAATAAAATCATGCAAAATTACACGAAATGGAAACCTGCCTTCAGAACTGTACTTTGTTTAATACAATAACCTAGTTACATCCACATTTGTGTGGTCATTTCTTGACAAAAATATCTATATTTGATTGTATTGGAGGAGCAATTAAAAATTTGTCTCCTAGTAAAAATTTCTGGGAAATACTTCATATTTACGTCATTTAATCTGTCAAAAGTCTGGGAATTAATTTGCAAAAGAAAAAACTCAAGCTGATGGTATCTTTTAGGAAGCTATCTTCTACAAGATAAAATTATCTCAAATTATCTTACACAATAAGGAAATGCATTATTTCATCTAATGGTAAGTCAAGAGGTAGAAAAGGTTTCAAGATTTATCAAGGCATAAGTTTCAATATGTCATGAAGTCTTCAAGTTTTTTCCCATTTATCCTTGGTTCTGGCATCTTTATTGCAATGGGTTTCCCCTTATGAATATTTAATAACAGATACAGTTCTGGTGACACATTCAGACATGGTACTTCCTACAGGAAGAAAAGAGACACCTCTTCCTGATCACCTTTTTGGAAACAAGAAACTCCTTTCTGCAGACTTCACCTGTGCCTCCTAGGTGGCCACACCCCTTACCCGCACCTCCACCCCAATCCAATCATCACAAGCAAAGGGAGTGGGACCCTCTGAATTGGTTTAGAACTGTCAGAATTTAATTAGGGTCACCTGGTTAAGTCTGGTTTCTTGTGTCAAGCTTGGTTTTGCTGGCAAAAAGAAGAAGGGAGTAGATTTTCCTTCCACGCCCAGTATGCTAGAAGCTGTTGGGTGGGGAAATTCTGTAAGTGCAAGCCAAGGCTCTTGGTCACTTGCCACATGACCTTCATCTAGGAAAAAGTTATACTTGATAAACTGTTTTTGAGGGAACATCGTTCCACAAAGCTTGGGCCATTCCACCTCCAAAGGGAAAAAAGCAAGGGAATTTTCGTAACTGGGCCAGCTTGGGATTATGGAAGCCACGTTGAGCTTGGCAAAAAGGGCACCTAAGCTCCTACCATAATTTCAGCACTTACCAATGGGTTTATTGACCAAAGCAAATGTCTCTCAGAATGTCAGTCCTCCTTATCTGTAAAAAGTGAATAATAATACCTGCTTTGCAGAATTGTTGTGAGGATTCAGGTAAAGTATATGAAAATATTTGGTAAACTGTAAAGCTTAATACTCTGTAATTGAAAGGTATGATTATCTGATGAACCAGTCAATTTTACCACTGCATGTCCCACTTCTCCAGCCACTTAAGTCTCATTTTCCTGCTGGTTCACCAAAGTAGCTTCCTGCTGTCTCATTACCACCCCGTGTTTAACATGGCAAAGATCAAGGTTTTAATTTTTTACTAGAACACACTTTCTCTTCTCAACTCTGTAGTCCCTGTGGGGAATATTACTCCAGTGCCAATCACACAGGCCCAAGTCTGAGCCCATTTTAGAACCTGCTCTTTCAATCTGTCCCTTCACAATCATGAGTTCATTAAGTCTCCCCGCTTCCTACATAGCATCTCTAATTTCCAGGCTTTTTTCCCCTAAAAAAACCACAAGGGTCTAATTCAGACTGCTGTCATTTAACACATAAGCCTTCTACAACCTTTCATCAGCTTTGCTTCTTTTACTTTATGCAAAATTTCTCCCAACAAGATTGAAAAACAGAATTCCTGCAGCATGATGTTTCTCTCTGCATGCTCTACAAACTTAACCTGGCTGTTTTGCAGCATTATAGAATGCTATTAAATGTAGACACCTGATGTCCTCATCAGACACTTGAGAAGCAGAGTCACCCTGCAAATCTGAGCCAGTGAGACAGGGACAGGGTGTGTGGGAGAAGATCTATACATCTTTGGAGAAGCATAGGACTTCCAGAGAAAATCAGAACATTTCTTTTGTTCTTCTTGTTCCAAGCCTCCCAATAATTGGTATACGAACTCTAGGAAGGGTTGGGGTACATCCTAGACCCAGAGGCAAATTAAAAAAGAAAACAGAGAGTGGGATAATGCTTGCTTTGAGAAAATGGCAGACATACATTAAGATGGTAGAGACATATTCGACATTCAGGATGAGGTGGAGAGCTTTGGAGATGGTAAAGAGTTGGTCTAAATTCATAATGGAATGCCTTTGGTGAACATCATAGCACTGAGGTGTGATGTAGAGGCAGGGCAGCTGGAAAGTAGTAAGACATATTAGTCAAATTATGAGTTATTAGGATATGGGCAAATGTAAGTTATGGAATGGACCATGGAGACATGATTATGGTTCAGGGAGTTACATACAAAGGGAAGGACAGTGACGACAGAAGACTCAGATTTCAGGAGTTGAGGGGAAGGGATGGGAAAAGGAGTGGACAAGCATGTGTTGAGCACATAGTAAACATTAGGCACTCTACTATGCTTTTAAAATACATCATGTAGTTAAATCATAGTAATTCTATCAGCCAGATAACATTATTCCAGTTGTTACAGATAAGAAAAGTAAAGAGGCTTGCTCAAAGTCACAGAGCTGGCAATTCGCCTGGTTCTAAACACTTGCAAACTGCTGCTAAGTCTCTCAGTTATATCATGTGATCACCTCCATAACAACCCTGTGGGGCAAGCAACATCAGCTAAAGGGATTGTAGCTCAGAGAGGCTAAGTGCTGTGCCCAAGGCCACACAACTTGTTTTCTGTGAAGCAGGAGTCTAAATCCAGATTAGTTGGCTTCCAAGCTCATTACATTATACCAATGAAAATTAAAAAAAAAACAGTTTAAACTTAGTTCTTATGCAGGGTTTCACAGTCATAACAATAATTTTAAAGATGTTAATAAAATGTTTCTAAAAGGGTAGAAACAAATCAAGGGTGTGTTTTTGTTGTTGTTGTTTCAGGTAGGAAAATGGGATGTTGTGGGACTTTGATATTAATCTTCTTGGCCTGCATTTACTCAGTGATGCTCCCAGCAGCTGGAAGACCCTCCCAGTGAGAAGCCCAGAAGATGTAGTGCCTTCAAGTCTTCAAAGCAGTTAGGAGGGAAAACTTGTTCCTTTTTAGGTGGTTTCTTTCCTTCAAGCGGCCTTATAATTTGCCACTCTCCTCTCCCTACACTCTTTACCTGCTGCTTTCAGTCAGTGAAGAACAGTTCAGCCTTGGAATTGCCCAGGATTTCGGAACTCCCTAGGGGGACAGGACAGAAAACTGTGCGACTGTGACGTATACATTCATCCAACAAATATTTGTTGAGCCCCTACTATGTGATAGGGATGGGATGGTGAAAAAATATAGACATGGTCCTTGTTTTACTTTGAATCTGGGGTCAGATCTCCACCTCACCAATTGTCTGTGTGAGCTTGGTAAGATACTTCATTTCTAGGGTTTCCCTTTCATCCTCTGTATAAGGTTGTTGAGGAAATTAAATAAGATAATCTACTTGAATGGCTTTTTGCATACTAAATGCTTAATCAGCCCAACACACACACACACACACACACACACACACACACACATACTCAGCAGCCAGAACCATGGGTGCATAAACAATACATGGTGTAGCATGCTGAAAGGAGGGAGAGGAACTCAGAGAGAACATGTAAATGCAAATGTGTTTCTAAGTGGTCAAATAGACTTGTTATGTTGAATATGGACTTCTACAAAGGTATGCCTGGTTAACACAGAGGCATGCATCATATTAAACAGGTTCATCAAACTAGTGATTAGTGAAGTTTGAAAACATGAAGTTGCTGAGGCTCCCTTCAAGAATACTCCTCTTGCATTTGACATTTCCACCTCCTATTTATCATCATTATGCAAAGCTGCTAGTGGTTGACCACCTATTTAGCCGCAAGGCTTGTCATCTCTACTTACATTGAATTCAGCTAAATAAAATATATCTAAGAAGACTGTGCCCCCCTCAGGGATGAAAGGATATTATTAATGCTACCAGGCAAGAACTCCTCAGTGTTTATTGATCCATAAATTGGATTATTAACATGATACTTGCTTATTAAAGATGGCTCTTGGAGCTATTCTTTTTTTTTTTGCTCTCCAGACCAAAAATGAAGTGGAAGGCTTACAGCATAAATCTCTTTATGTTATTTTTTCTCTCCTTTTCTAAACTTCTTGCATCCTGCAGCATCTCCCCAGTGCGTGCTGAATCTTTTATGTTCCAGTATAGCATTAACAAAAGAAGTTCACAAGGATTTTATAGAGAAGTTTCTCTTCTATAAAAAGAGTATTTCTTAGATATTTATTCTCACTCTTCACTTACCAGAGGCAACCACACTGCAAGAAATTATGATTTAAATTTTTATATATTTTTTCTTACTTAATAGCTGGCTACCTAGGGCAAGTTCTTTGACTTTTCCTAGACCTCACTTGTTAGGATCTTCGGACTTTGAAACCAGCCAAATCAAAGACTGGTAAAGATGCTGAATATACAGCCCCTGTGGGTAGGCTTAATTTATTTAACAATACAGTACTGCAAAGATAGTATTTTCTAATTCATTCACTTACTCATTAGTTTATTCATTTAACAAACAGGCAATCAGCTTGAACTCTGTACCTGACCACTGGTTTGTTTCTAAGTTTATATAGATGCATAATTCACTTTAAATCTTGACATCAAGAAGAATGACTCTGGGAAGTTGGAAGGAGCCAGACTGGTTAAAAAAAAAAAAAAGGGGAACCATAATACAATGTGATAGATGTCAAAACATAAATATATATAAACCATCGTGTGGGCATGAGGGATGGAATGTTAACTCTGTCCAAGGGAAGGCTTCAATTCATGAGAAAAAGAATACAGGAACAGAGAGAAAGAACAGCACAGTCAAGGCCACTGAGAAGAAAAAGTATGGGAATATCCAGGGGATGTTTTGTAGTAGGTTTGCAACAAGAGAGGAGATTGGACATGGAGCTTGGGACCAAATTGTGTCATTTAAGGTTTTTAAGAAGTGGAGTGGAATAATTAGATCTTTGCTCTAGGAGAGTAACTCTGGAGGTTGTGTGATGAGGGAAGAGAAAGGGGTTGGAGGGAATAAGATTAATTTAAAGACACTAATGAATGATTTCAATAAATCAGGAGAAAGACTATGAAGACAGAATTAAAGCAGGAGCAATGGAAATGGAAAAGTAGAGACCTATAGACAGAAATTTTTAAGGAATAAGAGACAAAATTTGTTTCTTGGGTGTGAAGGTTAAGGGCATGGGGAGTGGAAGATGACTCTCAAACTGTATTTCTAGCCCAGAATCCCAGCCTGAACACCCTGAGTTGCTGTTTTTGGAACCTATGGGGCTTGTGGAGTGAATGCACAGAGTGTGTTGATTAATGAAGAGTTAGAAGGATACTTGAAGAACATCGAAAACTTAATAGACAAAAGAGTAGAGTCAGTTACAGAGGCTGAAAAGGCATTATCAGACAAGACAGAAAATGAAGTATGTGAGCATTCATGGCTGTGTATGTGTGAGTACGAGAAAGGGAGAGAAAGAGAGAGAGGGAGGAAAAGGAGGGAGGGAGGGCAAGTATCCTAAGGCTGCCTTCCCATTTAGAGAAAGGAAATTAAGGGTCATAGAGATGAGTATTGCTCTAACACTAAAAATGGGAGAGAACAGTCCTAGAAGCCTCTTCCTACCATGCTTATTGGCGCCTCTTAAGTCCCATCATTTTATTTTCATTTGTTTGTTTTGCTTTGTTTTTGACAAGTAAGGATCCTTTTTATTTTGAAAAAAAAGTACATTAATTCAGATTCAGAACTAACATTCCATCTTTCTGGGGTTGAAAGAGTGGAGCAGCAATGGGAGAGCTGCAGACATTGCTACATGAGCAAAGCATTTGGAAAGGGGTCTTTATTCATGGCAATGGGATGCTGTGATGGTCAGTTTCCCGGGTCAATTTGGCTTGGCTACCTTCCTCAGTCTTTCAATTAAACACTAATATAGGCATTGTTGTGAAGGTATTTTGTAGATGTGATTGAAGTATAATCAGTTGATTTTAAGTAAGGGAGATTATCCTTGATAATCCTGGTGGCCCTGATTCCATCAGCTGAAAGGCTTTAAGAACATTGCTGAGGCTTCCCTGAAGAAGAAATGCTACCTGGGATTGTGGCATCAACTTTTGCCCAAGAGTTTCAGCCTGCCCTTCCCAATAGCTCGTCCCACAGATTTCATACTTGCCCTGAATCAATTTACCATTTAATTACAATCTCATAAGCGAGTTCCTTGCAGTAAATCCTATAATATTTACCTCTTACCAGCTCTGTTTCTCTGGTTAGACCTTGATTGATGCAGTTGCCATTGCTGACCTTATTCAGGAGAGTTTCAATGGAGTTATAGGGCAAGTCTGAATTACAGGAGGCATGGGCCTCTCTACTTCACTTTCTTCCAAGTTCTTCTTGCATGAGGATAAGGCACAGGGAGTGGTTTCTTGAGCTGTTATTAGTTTGGGTCCCGGCAGCATCCCTAGTCAACAGGTAAAATTGAGCAAGGCCTACTAGCTAGAGTCTGGAGACAGAAGCCACCTAAATCAGTTTAGGAGGTTTTCTAAAAGTAAAATACATTTAGAAATCGTCTTTGAAAAGAAAAAGTATGTGTTGAGGAATGGGTGTGCTGCATACAAAAACAAGGCAGTGTCATCAACTAAGTCCTCTTAAAGGAAGAGGGAGGAGTAAATTACTGGCTAATGGTTCTGTAAGAAGCCACAGTGATTTCTGTCATTCAGTCAATTAAGTTATATTGAGCTACTATCATATGCTAGGCACACAGCCATGCCAGGTGTGGAGCCAAGGCCTGGGGACAGAAAGATGAATGAAATACTTTACAGTCTCAGAGGAGTGCTTGGCCTAATGTGAGAAAGTACACAATTAAAAGCAAAAGTGAATACCAATGCTAGATTTGAAGTACTCTAAGGCCTTTGCTACTCAGAGTGTGGTCTGGGGAACAGCAGCATTGGCATCCCTGGAAGGATATTATGCTAAGAGAAATAAGCCAGGCATAGAAAGATAAATACTGCATGATCTTACATATATGTAAAATCTAAAAGAAAAAAAACATTGAATTCATAGAAGCAGAGAGTAGAATGGTGATTAACAGGGTTAGGGGAGAGCAGAGAAAAAAGGGAGTTGGATATTAAGGAGATGTTGGTCAAAGGATACAAAATTTCAGTTAGGAGATCTATTGTACAACCTAGTAACTATAGTTAATAACAATATATCATATGTAGCCTGCCCTCTGTATCCATGGGTTCAACCGATCATAGATTGAAAATATTCAGAAAAAAATTGCATTTGTACTGAGCATGTACGGACTTTTTCCTTGTCACTATTCCTTAAACAATACAGTAGAACAACTATTTACATAGCATTGATATTTTATTAGTAATTAAATATTATAAGCAATCTAGAGGTGTTTTAAAGTATACTGGAGAATGCACATAGGCTACATGCAAACACTACACCATTTTATATCAAAGACTTGAACATCCATGGATTTTGGCATCTAAGAGAGGTCCTGTAACCAATAACCCATGGGTACCGGAGGACAACTGTACCTGAAAATTGTGAAAATAGTAGATTTTCAATGTTCTCACAACAAAAAAAGTGATAAGTATGTGAGGTAATAGATATGCTAATTTGCCTGATTTAGCCATTCCTTAATGCATACAGATATTAGAACATCATGTCCTATACCATGAATATATACAAATTTTGTCAATTAAAAAAAACACAACATCAATAACAAACTCCACAGTACATAAGGCTGCACTCAGATATACAAACCAGAACCTGCTTTTATTTATTTATTTATCTGCTTAAATGCACTTTATTTTTTAGAACATTTCACAGTAAGATTGAGCAGAATGTGCAGATTTCCCATCTACTCCCATCCCTACACAGGCACAGCCTCTTACATTATCAACCTTACCACCAGATTGGTCCGTTTGTTGCAATCTATGAACCTAAGCAGACACATCATAACCACCCGAAGTCCATAGATTACATTAGGGTGAGTGTTGTACCTTCTATGGGTTTGGACAAATGTATAAGGACATGTTTCTAAAATTATTGTATCACACAGCATGGTTTTACTGCCCTAAAAATCTTCTATTTTCCACCTGTTTATTCCTCCCTTCCCCCAACTCCTGGCAGCCACTTATTTTACTGTTTCTAGAGCTCTGCCTTTTCCAGAATGTCATTTACTGTAGCTGGAATCATACTGTATGCAGCCTTTTCAGATTGGCTTATTTTACTTAATAATGTGCTTTTAAGTTTCCTCACATATCCTTTTATGGCTTAAGAGCTCATTTCTCTTAGTACTGAATATTCCATTGTCCACATGTGCCATAATGTATTTATCCATTCACCTACTGAAGAACATCTTGGAAGATGCATTTTAATACGATTTCCAGATTATTCATGTGCATATTGAGTTTGAGAAGTGTTAGCCAGCTTTGGGCTGGGTTGTAAGAAAAGGCCTAGGCTAATCCTTGTATGTTTATTTTTTTAACAGCCTCTGCTTTTTGTAAAAGTACCTTTGGTATTTCCTACATGACTACCTATGTGACTTTATTAAATGTTGTCTTCTACTGCAGGAGGCAGTGACCACTTATTAGCAATGTAAGGTTTTCTGATCACTGAGTGATGACTTTGATATGAAGT
Source organism: Homo sapiens (assembly GCF_000001405.40). Taxonomy (NCBI): domain Eukaryota; kingdom Metazoa; phylum Chordata; class Mammalia; order Primates; family Hominidae; genus Homo; species Homo sapiens. The sequence goes on from NC_000007.14 coordinate 114,813,048, forward strand.
GGGTTGTTTAACCACAAGCTGATCTCAAACCCTGAGGTTTGAGCCCTGTTTTCCAAATGTGAACTGAACACTTGGCCAGATGCTGGAGAGGCAAAAATATGATGGCCCCTGTTCTCAAAAGGTAGTTCCCTCACAAGGATTTGTGTTTAGTCACCCTTTGGTATAAGCAAGAACGTCTGGTCTCTTCCATGATGAATAAATAATTACAAATCCTTCACCACACCTGTAGTATATAGTTAGGGTGAACATACATTCTGGTGTGCCCAGGACAGTCTCAGTTCATTCTTATTGTCCTCAAGTAATTATTAATTGTACTCACTATCATTCTCAGAAGCATCCCCTTTGAAAAATATGTTTTATGGTCACCCTACCTATAACCAAATGGTGATCACTGATGAACACTACAGTTTCTATTAGAGGATATTTTGAAGCTGACCAAGAGAAGGCAAAGGAGCAAGGTTATTCAACAATGTGGTTGTCACTAGAACAATTGGGGTCAGAGAATAGAAACAAAATAATGCCCTAATTCTAACAGAAAAAAGAAATAGAAATAATCTATAATGAAACATGTATTTCAATATGTATATTATCATGTATGATCTCACCAGTCAAAGGCTGCTGACCTTTGTAGAATCTGTGTAAATGGAATAGCTACGAACACAGAATGATAGATGCATGCTATTGGTGACTTAAAACCCATGAATTATATTTCTTCTTGATGTTCTGAATTTCTGAAATTATGACTAATTCTTGGTAAAAATTGGAACAAACCTAAATCAATTTTTCTTTGAATTACAGAGTACTTGTATTCCTAGAAAATCTCTGTGTGTTAAAACCACACAGAGCTGCTCTGTGCTTATGTGTACAACAGATTTTCATCAAAAACAGATTATTCACTTATAGGAGTGTCCGTTAGGACATTCAATAGCTGCCCAGGACATGGTATAATTCTTCATGAAGTCTCATGAAATGCGATGTTTTTAGCTTCCTTGGCCCCACTTACTCATCTCCAGTTGGGCTTCTGATCATTTTGACAGGCAAAACCCTCGCCTCTCTTCTTTCTTTGGGGCACTTACCCCATCAGTCTTTTTTTTTTTTTTCCAGATAATTTCAACCTGTCCATTTTTTGACTCTGCCTTGGCATCTAGCTACCATCTCTCTCTCCTTTTCTTATCATTTAACCATCAAGTTCATAAATAGAATGAGTTATATTCTAATTGTAGCTTCATATTTACCTCTCACTGTATGCCCTTCAGACTTTTTGCCACCACATCAACACAACTGCTTTGTCAAAGGCCTTCAAGGCACTGTCCCCTCCAGCCCCTAACTCCTCACTTGGAAGTATTACTTGACTTCTCTGTGGCATTTGATACTGGGAACCGGCTCTTCAAGTAGTTAATTACTCCACTGCAGTCTCCTTTACCTATCTCATCCTCTGGGTGTGCTTTAAATCTTTGATTTAATTGTCTGTTTTTATCCGCATGCTGATGATTCCTGGAACTCTATTTCCAGCTCAGATATCTCTCCTGAGTTCCTGACTTGCGTTCAATTGCTTGTAAGTTATTGCCATCTGGATCTCCCAATAATAATTAAAAATCAAGATGTCCACATTTTTACTCACTACCTATCTTCTATTTCTCTCATATTCATTATCTTGCTTGTAACTAACACATCACCTACCCCATCACTCATGGCAGAAACTAAGGCCACCTGGACTTTCCCCTTTGCCACCCACTCTCCACCCTCCCCTACCTCTCAATATTAAACATGCATTCTTTTTTTTCTTCACCAGCCGCTTCCACTGTTATTGATTTTCTTCAGCCATTTTTATTTCTCACTGGAACTGTTGCAATACACTCCTGAAAAAGAGGAGTAGTCTAGAATCAAGAAAACAAATTTGAGAAGAGAAATAATTTAAAGCAGAATATAAATTATAAGTTGAATCTGAACTTTTTATTGTTAATCTCACTGTCTCTAAAACTGGCAAGTTTTGATTTAAAATATTTACTTTGTTCTTTCCATTCATGTACTCTTGCCTACTTTATGAAACTTCTGGGCCTTTTCAGTTTAACCTGTGGTTCAACACACTGAAGACTTCTCCTATATCTAAGGGCCTAGGACTGTTCCTTGCATTGTAAAAAGGTCTTAGATTGTCTTTTCTGGATCTCTGATTAGCTTTTGGGTTTTTGTAAAATTTAATTATTTATTTATTTTTGGTAACCGCAAATAGATATTAAAAGAGAAAGATTATGGGTGACTATAATCTTTCTAATGGTGTTCTCTAATGACTGTCTTTCCCCTAATTAGGAATTTCTTTTCTGACTCCTTTGTGGCTCAGCTTTTTTTCTTTGCACATTTTCCCCAGTGAATACAGTGCAAAATTTTCTCATTTAACAAAAAATTCTGAAGTACTTCAGTAACTTAAAAATATAATATCTAAGATGGATTGTTCTCCTGTCAGAGAATAGTATCTATTTTCAAGGAACGGTATGACATGATAGATAAAAAGACAGATTTTATTAAGTTGACTGCATTTAAATCTTGATTCTGATACTTGTATGTATTTACTTGAGCAATTACTTTTCTCCCTCTGAGCCTCCATTTTCTTATTTGTAAGGTAGCATAATGGTAGGTTCTATCTTGTAGGGTGCTTATTGGGATTAAATTAGTTAATTTGGTGAAGTATAGTGCTTGTAACAAAATAAGTTGCACTAAAAAACTGCATACATAATGAAACAGTAGAAACAGTTTTCTTTTTTTCTTTTTTGACACAGACTCTTGCTCTGTCACCCAGGCTGGAGTGCAGTGGTATGATCATGGCTCACTGAAACCTTGACCTCCTGGGCTCAAGCCATTCTCTCACCTCAGCCTCCTGAGTAGCTGGGAATACAGGCACACGCTACCATGCCAGGCTAAAAATTTTTAATTTTTTTAGAGATGGGATTTCACCATGTTGCCCTGGCTGATCTCGAATTCCTAGGCTCAAGCGATCTTCCTGCCTCAGCCTCTCAAAATGTTGGGATTACAGGCATGAGTCACCATGACCGGCCTAGAAACAAAGTTTTCAAATACGGATATAAAATAATTTATATGCTAATATGGAATAAATTCATAATTCTACCCAAAAGTCCACATATTTTAATTTTCCTACTTAGTAATGTTGGCTTACATTTCAATTTACCACCTGCTCACTGATTGTTGTTAGATGAAAGGTAATGCTACAACACTTGTTATTTACAGACTCTTCTCCCAGGCATCCCCATGGCTCCTTGTCCCTTGCTTCCTTCAGGTCTCTGCTCCAGCGGCATCTTAGCACAGAGACTTTTCCTCCATCTCTCCTGTACATATTCCTGGTTTATTTTTCTTATCACTGTACCATCCCCTCTCACAACATATACATTTAATGTCTGGCATCCACATCTAAAACATTTATTCCATTAGACAGTGTCTCTTACGTTCACTGCTGTATCCCTAGGCCCTAAAACAGTGCCTGGCACATAGAAATGATCCACTAAATATTTGTTGAATTAACTTTACCTAATTTGATCCTAGCAAAGCTCAGTGAGTTCTGGAAGGCAGATGTCATTTCCCTGTTTTTACATAAATGGGTAAAAACTAATCTGACAAGGGGCTAATATCCAGAATCTACAAAGAACTTAAAGAAATTTACAAGAAAAAAACAACCCCATTAAAAAGTGGGCGAAGGATATGAAAAGACATTTCTCTAAAGAAGACATTTATGCATCCAACACACTTTTGAAAAAATGCTCACCATCACTGGTCATTAGAGAAATGCAAATCAAAACCACAATGAAATACCACCTCACACCATTTAGAATGGTAATCATTAAAAAGTCAGGAAACAACAGATGCTGGAGAGGATGTGGAGAAATAGAAACACTTTTACACTGTTGGTGGGAGTGTAAATTAGTTCAACCATTGTGGAAGACAGTGTGCCAATTCCTCAAGGATCTAGAACTAGAAATACCACTTGATCCAGCAATCCTATTACTGGGTATATACCCAAAGGATTATGAATCATTCTACTATAAAGACACATGTACATGTATGTTTATTGCGGCACTGTTCACAATAGCAAAGTCTTGGAACCATCCCAAATGCCCATCAACGATAGACTGGATAAAGAAAATGTGGCACATTTGCACCATGGAGTACTATACAGCCATAAAAAAGGTGAGTTCATGTCCTTTGCAGGGACATGGATAAAACTGGAAACCATCATTCTCAGCAAAGTAACACAGGAAGAGAAAACCAAACACCGCATGTTCTCACTCGTAAGTGGAGTTGAACGATGAGAACACATGGGCACAGGGAGGGGGAACATCACACACCGGGGCCTGTTGGGAGTTGGGGGCTCGGGGAGGGATAGCACTGGGAGAAATACCTAATGTAAATGATGAGTTGATGGTTGCAGCAAACCAACATGGCACATGTACACCTATGTAACAAACCTGCACATTGTGCACATGTACCCCAGAACTTAAAGTATAATAAAAAAGCAATTTTTTGTTTGTTTGTTTGTTTGTTTTTTGAGACTGAGTTTCACTCTTGTTGCCCAGACTGTAGTGCAATGGTGGGATCTCGGCTCCCTGCAACCTCTGCCTCCCGGGTTCAAGTGATTCTCCTGCCCCAGCCTCCCGAGTAGCTGAGATCACAGGTATGTGCCACCACACGTGGTTAATTTTCTATTTTGTTTTTAGTAGAGGTTGGGTTTCTCCATGTTTGTCAGGCTGGTCTCGAACTTCTGACCTCAGGGGATCCACCTGCTTCGGCCTCCCAAATTGCTGGGATTACAGAAATGAGCCACCGCACCTGGCCGAGGAATGGTTTTTAACTTGTGGTTCATAGATAAAATAAAAGTAGTCCTTGAACTTACATCAGGAAAAAATTACCCTTCATTTTTGCTAACCCCCAACTGAAATTTAGCATTTACTTACTTAATGAACGTAAGCAATAAATAGCAATAATAGTATAGGTATCTATAATTTTGTCAACAGATATATTTTTATATCACATTACAGTTGCAGATATCTCAAAATATTGTTTACCTTCATTATAGTTCAAAATTATGGTATTTATGGGACCCATATCTTGATAATGATATTTAATATAATAATAAACACATTTATTACTACATTAGAAAAAATAATAATTGGATTCTTCAACATTCTGTATTATTTTATGCCATTAAAAACCTTATTCTGAGGAAGCATCTATAACTTTCACCAGATTGGCAAACGACTCCACAGCACACAGAATAAACCAAGAAACCTTAGAGTTCTTAGAGTTCAGGAAGGTGAGATGATTTGTTCAAGTTCATATAACTGGTAAGTGGCAGTGGTAGAACCAGAATCCAAGTCAGGCCTCCTTATATAGCCTTGTTGCTCTTCATGGCCAAATTTAAGGAAGAAGGAGATATACACACACACACACACACACACACACACGATAGTAGAAATGGTGTTTCCCGTAGTTGTGTAGCATGATGGCCTTGACCAATACCCATGTTTATCTTTTTTTTCTACATACCTGCTGCATAAATCTCGAAATACCCATCCACACAGAAAGAATAGTAACTACTCCACAACTACCCCCATCACACTAGTATGTGAGTCAGTAAGCATTGCTCACCCTAGCCACATGGGTTGAGTCATGACAGAATATGAGGATTAAAAAATTATCACACTTGGTGAAAGCATCTGTCTCTCTGGATGAAAGTTATAGCTCTTGGTTGCAATTTCTTAACTGTTTGGGTCACTGAAGATTTCATGGTCCATGCTCTTGTTGATGTCCTGTCCAAATTTCCTGGGTGTAATTAATTTCTGTTGATCTCTGTTCCCGCAGTTGTTTCACTTAGATACAACATTCTTAATTTAGGCTTCTAAATTATTTTATGACATTTATTTGCATAGTTAAACAGTTGGCATGCTTCAGTGTAGATTTCTATTTTAGCATGTAGACAGTTTTGAAAATATGAACTCTTATTTGCTACAACTCTTGTAGGAAACTACAACAGTTGAGTCCATAATAATGTTTATACATTATTATATACTCAACCAATATAAATATTATATATAACAGTATATAATAATATACTCAACTGTTGTAGGAAATGCACGAGTTCATATTTTCTAAAAGTACTCTACATGTAGAAAAGCAAATTAATAACTAGGGGACAGTTACAAAATACTAAGTAAACATATGTATGCTCACATATGTGCATATATTTATTTCTGAATACTAAATGATAAAACTGAGGCTTGGACCTGAACTATTCAATTCCAAGATATAATACCTGCATCACCCTTCAGCACACATATATGATGGCATAAGCACTAAGCCATATATAAATAGATGTGTGTGTGAGAAGGTGGGAAAGAACAAGCTTGCACATCAGAAAATGATTTAAAAGATTATCTTAATTATAACTGTGAATGCATATTTTCCCCTAACAGTAATGCATTCACTTATTCTTTGAAGAACGTTTCAGCATAGAAGGGCTAGACCCTTTGGTAGACAAACGACTAGCAAATCTGCCCACGGCCTCTGTCTATAATCACAACAGTCTGATTTTAAAAGGGAAAACTCTTTCACTATATAGCTAACAGAAATAGAAAAGCTAAAGGAGCCAGTTGGACATCTGGCCAGGCAAGGACAGATACTATTCCTGGCATATAGTATAAAGGGTGTCTTGAGAGGATGAGTCTTCTAATGACTTGGCATAAATGAAGTTCCTTGGCCTATTTCCAGCTTTTTCCTTGCACAACCTCAGCATGTGTTTGTGCATTCCTGGTGTTAAAGTCAGCCTTTCCTTCTAGGGTACCGCCCTTTTCCTACCTTACAGACTAATATAGCTCACTAAAAGGCACCAAAACAGTTGGTTGGCTGCAACTATACCTGTTACACAGTAGATATTTCTCCCTTTGTACCTCTTAACTGCCATTCTTTCCATATGCCATTTCTTCAGCCGGGAGTAATTCCTGTAGATCATTACATAGTTGCTCTTCCCTCCTCTTCCAGCCTCCTGTCCTGGGTTTGCTTTTAGCCAAGGAAACCCTAAATAGGATAGGGAATCATTCTCTGCATGTTTTGATATCCTTTTCATTCACTCCAGCCATCCCCACTCCCAGGTTAGAGGGCTGACTCAGCCATCCCCACCTATATGTCAGCACACTCTCACGGAGTGTTCTTCATGTGTAAGTTATGGTGACACCTCAAATTCCCTCAGCTCTCTGTCCTCAGGGCACTTACAATTTAATTAGGTAGATAGCACACATGTTCACAAAAAGTTAGCTAGCAACACCACAAGATCATTTCAAATAAATATGAAAAGAGTGGTGGCGGCTGGCCGCGGTGGCTCACTCCTGTAATCCCAGCACTTTGGGAGGCCGAGGCGGGTGGATCACTAGAGGTCAGGAGTTCGAGACCAGCCTGGCCAACGTGGTGAAACCCTGTCTCTACTAAACAAAAATTAGCCAGGCATGGTGGTGGGCGCCTGTAATCCCAGCTACTGCGGGGGCCGAGGGAGGAGAATCACTTAAACTCAGGAGGTGGAGGTTGCAAAAAGCCGAGAAGATTGTGCCACTCCGCTCATGCCTGGGCAACAGTGCGACTCCGTCTCAAAAAAAAAAAAAAAAAAAAAAGTGGTGGCAAAAATAGATGCCACATGAGTTGAAAGGATCACTGTGAGTTGGAGTTAATTGGGAAGTAGTCATGAAAAATTTGAAATTATTTGCAGCTAGAAATTCTAGGTCTACATAGGATAGAATAACCCCACCAGTATTAAAAGACACTAAACATATCTAATAATGACACAAATATAGAGACTGTGTTTATAAGGGTATTAAGATGTCACTAAACATTAAAAAAATGAATATCATCAGCTATTGAAGAACCCTTTTATTTGGGAAGAGGAAAGTTATGTTTGTTTAGAACTGGACTACCTTTGTCTCAGAAGCCTTTCCTTGGCTAGAAACTGCCACTTCAGGATACACTCTGTGTGTTGTTCTGTACTCAGGAACTTTTACCCTATACATACTGTCAGCTTCAAAGATGAGGAAGATGTAAACTAAGAGAATGTTAAAAATAGTCTTCATAAGAATGTCTTCTCTGTCTAATGCCTTAGGTTTGCTGAGTTTGCCTTTTTTTCTTATAAGGAAAGGAGAAGCAAAGAAGTAGAGAAAAGGAGAAAAAATGAACTTTTAAGTAGGTGGTGAGAAAAACCACACCGATAAAAATTATAAACAATACTGCATGGTCTCTTACGGAATGGGCTCTTTGAATACCCAGTGAGGCATGTTTACCAGAAGAAGAAAGATCGAGTTGGCTGGCGCCTCTTAAATGTGCATACTCAAGAGTTCGGGACACACATATGCTTTTGTGTGTGTTTTCTCACAGGACACTTTCAGCCGCCAATCTTTTTCTAATCTCACTTGTCTTTTCAAATTGAGGAAGGTATGGGATTTCTGTAGAGGACATAGATATGTAAAGGTCCATTAGGAAGTTATCTGATATTTAAATGCAAAAAAATGCAATTAAAGTCCTACTACCCTTTTTATAGTTTGTTTTCTTTATTTGAAGCAGTCAGGAATTAAAAACAACTGAAACCATTTTTTAAAACCTTTCAAGAAGTTCATTCTTGGATTAAGCCCAAACATACAGTCAGTAAGCCAAAAATGGACTATTTTCACAAAGAGTTGAGTGATGGAAAGCAGAAGCTGTCATGGAAAGTGTTATGTGAATATTCTCATTAAATTAAAAAAAAAGTTGGCTCTGGGCTGGAAGTAGTCATTTCTTTACCTTTTAAAAACTCTAGCAAATTATTTCCCTTTGGAGGATGATCATTTGAGCTAATTTGCCTGCATTCCAAATATTATGGGCCTTGTGACAGTACACATTTTTTTTTTTTTTTAACAAGTTTCTCCCTTGGTCTGTGGGCAGATTCTGGGCATGTCTCAATAAAAAGTCAAGGCTGTTCAAATTCTGAATGTAGTGACTGTCTCATTGATTTTGATTGACAGGATTTTGTACTGCATAATTTACTTAGTAATGTAAATTGTGAATATAGTTCATATATGCTTCCTTTAGCTCCCACTAAAATATTGTAGTAAGATATATTTTAACATGGACTATCCACACATTATTTTAACAATTTTTGAAAACTATAAAGCAGAGGTTCTGAAAGTGTAGATTCTCAGCTAGCAGCTGCAGCCTCACCTGGGAACTTGTTAGCAATGCAAATTCTCAGTCCCCATCACAGGTTTACCTAATCAGAATCTCTGAGAGTGGTGCCCAGCAATTTGTGGTTTAACAAGCTATCCGGGTGACTTGGATGAGCTAAACTTTGAACACCAATGCTATAGAGTGTAAGAGTTGCAGGTACAATGGACCCAAAGTAGAAATATTTGCTACTCTAAAAAGAAGCCCAAAAATCTTAATTTTTTTATTCTTCAAATCTGTTAGAACACAATTTTATAACATGCCATCCTATAACATAATGGACTTAGCCTTTGTTTATGCATTCAACATAATCTAAGTAGTTACAGATTTCTTAATGCTCGTCATCTGAAATATTTAATATAGAGATGACTCTGATATGCCATATATTAGTAATCTTCCAGATGATAATTTTGGATGCAATGAAATCCAGAGAAAAATTTAGTTCTGCCCGTAAAGCTCTAAGAAGATCCCTGTTAACTTTAGCATTTGAGAAATATTCCAAAAGTGAAGATTAGTAGTAATATCACAATGATTGAAAATTACGGGATTATTTAACACTTGAAAATAGTCTTCATTCTGTCATTCACAATTCTCTTCACATAACTTAGAGAAAAGTATCTGAGAAATACTATCAGATAATATTTATATTCTGACTAAAATAAATATATACAAAGCCCTTACAATCATTATTGACACATGTCATTTTATTATGCTGAAACTCCAATTTTCTTGGCAAACTTCCTTTTATCTCTGTTACCAAAAGGAAGACAAAGGCAAGTTGTATTGCACAATATAAAGTTTTAGCTAAAGAGATGGATAATATAAACTCCAAACCCGGTTCTGCCGTTGACAGTGTGTAAATGTGAACAAGGTACTTAGCTGCTCTGGGCCTCTGTTGTCTCAGTTATAAAATGAACAGGTTGGATTAGATCTCCAAATCCTGCTTCAATTAGCTGTTATAGTATAACAAACAATTATAAACATAATGGCTTAAAGCAGTAATAATTTATTATTTCTCAATTTATTACTTCTACAAGTAATGTGGATGGTTCTGCACCTTGGGTTAGGCTTGGGCAATGTCAGCAGGACTAACTGTAATAAGATAGCAGGGTGGCTGGAAGCTGACCAGTCTTGGATAGGCTCCATGTGGTCTCCCATCCTGCATAGCCTGGGCTTTTCTCATGCTCATGGTAGGGTTCCAAGAGAACAAGTAGAAGCATGCAGTCTCTGAAAGCAGAACAGGCATAACAATATGGCTGCCACATTCCGTTGGCCAAAACAAGTCACAAGCCAAATTTAAAAGGTGGGGAAACAAGACTCCACCTTTGATGGGAGGCACTGCAAAGTCACATTGCAAGAGGTATAGCTACAGGAAGAATTGGGCTGCTCTGGCAATCAATCAACCCTTCTAACTTAAAATACTGTGAAATAGCAGGAAATATGTTCAATATAATTTTACCGAATGCTCAGTATGGAGCGTTCCAGGAATACAGGGATATTTAGGAAAATTAAAGAAGCAGAAAGGATGTAACATATTTGTGAAAATAGAATACTCACTATGGTGTGTTTCAGGTATACAGAGATATTTAGGAAAATGGAAGATGCAGAAAGGATATAACGTATTTGTGAAAACTGAAGTAAGCATGTTTTAAGCAAGGCTTCTCTTTAATTATTGTCTGAGTTTCACATAAAGTCTGCTTCATCAACTGGATAAATATTTGACTGCTGTTCAGTAAATTGCATTAGTTTACTTTAACTGTATGCTCAGCCTTATTCAGGCATCCTACATTAGGCAATGTAGTGTGTAATGCATCTCTGCAGGTGACCAGAGCTATTCTCCGTATGAGGTAAATTAAAACTCATATTTTAAAAATTAAACATTCTTGCACTTCATGATTTCAATATTTAATTATAACCTGTGTCAAGGCCTAATCTCTGACTGAGTCAGGCATGAAATTAATCAAAAAAAGAGGCAAAAGCTTAGCAATTCTTCTACACTGTAAAAATAATGTGGTTTCTTTAGTCACACAGTGATGTTCCTGATATTCCTATCCATTTTATGAGGAAGACTCTGATATGCAGTAAGTTAGTAGGTATATGATGACAGTGACCTGTTCAGAAAAAATCAGTAAGATGAAAGAATATTTATTAATTTTAGTAGGAAACAAAACCTCTTTTTTTAAAAAAAGATTAAATGATTAATTATTGACCTTATTGAAAGAGCTAATAGGATATAAAGTTAATGTATTAATATCTTGTGTGGAACAAAAATGAAATATATCCAATAGTATATTTGTTATAACTGTCATGTTTGTTCCCATTTATACTTTATATCAGTTTTTCAAAAACTGCTTGTATGAAAGGATTAACACATTTTTCCAAGGAAGGCGTGCTTACAAAAATAATAAAATACATTATTGCAAGTTTTATTCCTACAAGAATTTGCATAGATTATAGGATTATATTGATCAAAAGAGGAAAGTACCACATTAGAGAAGGGAAATAAATGTATCAAGGTTAGTTAGTAGAATTAGATAGCATTAAGCCAGTGATTTCACAGCAACATGTACAAGTTACCAAGTCATTGTGATGAAATAGGGAAGTTAAGGGAGATGATCACATTATTTTCCTCATCAGAAGAGCAAGGTAAACTGAAATACTATTAAAGTTTGACAACATGGAGCAGAAAACATAATTGAGCCTTGTTGGTTTAATTCTTCCCATGGTTAAATGAGTTGATTACTTATGCAATGAAAATGAAAAAGTCACAGGTAAATTAAATAAATAGTAAGCAGACCTGGAGGAATACGTATCTTCATTTGGTCTACCTTGAGGAAGTCTGGGATCAGTTTACAGAGTAGGCAGAGAAAATGAACATGAAGGGATGAACTTGTATCTAAACAGGTTGTTCTGACCCTGTGAGCTCTGGAGCACCTTGGATTTTGCAGTTCTAATGCTTGTCCCACTAGTTTTTGTTGTAGTATTCTGAAGCATTGGCTCTACTTGTAACACAAATAAATAAAAAATAATAATAAAGCTATATCAGTCCATTCTCACACTGCTATAAAAATACTACCTGAGACTGGGTAATTTATAAAGGAAAGAGGTTTAATCGACTCACTGTTACGCATGACTAGGGAGGTGTCAGGAAACTTACAATCATGGTGAAAGGCAAAGGAGAAGCAAGCACCTCCTTCACTAGGTGGCAGGAGAGAGAGAGCGCAGGGGAAACTGTCACTTTTAAACCATCAGATCTCGTGAGAACTCCCTCACTATCACAAGAACAGCATGGTGAAAACCACCCCCATGATCCAATCACCTCCCACCACGTCCTTCCCTTGACATGTGGGGATTACAATTCAAGATGAGATTTGGGTGGAGACACAGAGCCAAACCACATCAAAAGCCTAACATATATAACTAGACTAAAAATGAAATAAAGTTCTTCAAGGTTTGGAAAGAGATTAGAAGCACAAGCAGTGAATAAAGCTGACACCACAGGCCTGCTGAGTTAGAAGTGGGCAGTGGCAGCCTGGAAGTACATGGATTGGCAGTCCATATGAGATGAGGTCTTAAGCCAGGCTTTCTGTTGGCTGAGGTGAGGCTCTTCTGCATTTGAAAGGAGCTCAAGAAAACTGTTGCCATTATCTTCCTGGGGCTTCACCTTACGGAATGTCACACATACAGGGTTGAAAGAGGAGGGGCCATGGGGTGAAACATTCCTATATGCTCATGTCTAGAAAATGAACTCAGTTGTTTCATAGCTTGGTGGCTGGATCTGTTATAGTTACTGCTTCTTAACAAGGAAATAGTCACAAATTTCCACTGTAAACCCAATTGTGAACTGAGGATGAGGTGAAGAAAGACTAGGAGAAATTACAAAATTCCTACTCTGGATAGGGTGAAGAAAGATGGAGAGAGAAAGAGAAAGAGAAGGAGAAAGAGAGAGAGAGAGAGAGAGAAAATCAAACTAAATCCAACCAATTTTTTTCCATTCAAATCAACCAAAATAAAATTACAAAACAGACAAAGAAAGCTACACTAAAAAAGAATAAAACAAACACAGCTGGGTGTAGTGGTTCACACCTGTAATCCCAGCACTTTGGGAGGCCGAGGTGGGCGGATCACCTGAGGTCAGGAGTTCAAGACCAGCCTGGCCAACATGGTGAAACCCTATCTCTACTAAAAATACAAAAAACTAGCTGGGGGTGGTGGCAGGCGCCTGTAATCCCAGCTACTGGGGAGACTGAAACAGGAGAATTGCTTGAACCTGGGAGGTGGAGGTTGCAGTGAGCCGAGATCGTGTCATTGCACTCCAGCCTGGGCAACAAGAGTGAAACTCCATCAAAAAAAAAAAAAAAAAAAAAAATTGAAGCACAAATTCACTTCATATAAAGAGAATATAATGAAAAATCTCAAAGTCTTTTTAAGTTGATTATATAGGCAGTGGCCAAAGAAACAAAAGAAGGTTTAATACTATATAAACAGTAGTAGAAGTTAAGAAAGGGAAACAAATAGAAATGAAACAGAAACAGATACTTATGAGAAAAATAAATCTTGGAAATAAAAAATACAACTATTGAAATAAAAAGTAAATGAATAAGGTAAACTGTAGGCTGGATACAATCAAGGGGGAATTGATAAATTGAAATGCATTAATAATAAATTCATGACCAAACAAGACAGAGAGAAAAATAACATGAAATCTCACTTCAGAGCCATGGAGAATAGAAAAAAAAGGTTTGATAGGCAATTCAGAGGAAAAGAATGAAAAGACCAACAGTTACATCATATTTGAAGCTAAATAGATAAAAAAATTTCAGATATGAAAAAAACTGAAACCTGAGATCAAAATTTCACTTCACATGTTAATCAGAAGAAGAAACAGGAAAAAACAAAACACATCTATACCTAGATATGTTGTGGTTAAACAACATAATGCCAAAAATAAAGAGAAAAACTTTAAGATGATAAAAAAAAACAGATGATTTACAAAATATAACAGTTAAACTGACAGCAACAATGGCAAAAATAGGACCAGAAATAGCAAAATAGTATTTTCAAGATAGTTGTTAATTAGAATTTTATACCCAACTCAACTATTATTTAAAACTGAGGGATAAATAAAATTATTTTGTGTCTGTAAATACTTTACGTCCACACACATTCTCCAAATCAGCTGCTAAAAATATACTCATAGGAAAAACATTACATACAAAAAACAACAATGAAGTGGATCGTAGATCTGACGTAAAATGCAAAACTGTAACAGTCCTAGAAATAACACAGGAGAAAATCCAGGTGACCTTGAGCTTTGTGATAACTTTCTAGATACAACACTAAAGGCATGGTCCATAAAAGAAATAATTGACAAGTTGGACATCATTACAATGAGAAACTTCTCCTTGGAAAAAGACTCTGTCAAGGGAATGAGAAGGCAAGCCACAAACTAAGAGAAAATCTTAGTAAAAGACATATCTAATAAAGGACTGTTATGCAAAATGTGAAAAGAATTCTTAAAGTTCAACATTAAGAAAATGAACAAACCAATAAAAGATGAGCAAAAGGTCTGAAAAGAAACCTCACCAAACAGAAATATAGATGACAAATAAGTATATGAAAAGATGCTCCATGTCATATGTCACTAGGGAAATGCAAATTAAGCACACATATTAGAATGGCCAAAATCCGAAATGCTGTGAACACTCATGCTAGAATATGGAGCAACAGGAGCTCCCCTTCATTGCTGGTGGGAATGCAAAATGGTACAGCCAATTTGTAGTACATTTTGATAGTTTGTTATGAAACTAAACATACTCTTACCCTAGGATCCAGCAATCATACTTCTTTGGAATTTACCCAAATAAATTGAAAACTTATGTCTGTATGGGAACTTGGACACAGATGTTTCAAGAAGCCTTATCATAATTGCCAAAACTCACAAGCAATCAAGATGTCCTCCCAAAGGTGAATGAATAAATAAAGTGTTACATCCAGAAAATAGGGTATTATTCAGCACTAAAAAGAAAAGAGTTACCAAACCATGGAAAAAAAAAGAAGGAAACTTCAATGCATATTACGAAGGGATTGAAGCCAATCGGAACAGTTACATACAGTATAGTTCCAGTTATATGACATTCCACTAAAGGCAAAACTATGGAGGCACTAAAAAGGATTAGTTGTTTTCAGGGTTTAGAGGAAGGAAAGGATAAATAGAGCACTGAGAATTTTTGGAGCAGTGAAACTGTTCTGTATGATACGATAATGTCATACATTTGTCAAAACTATAGCATGTATAACACCAAGGGTAAATCCTAATGTAAACTGTGAATTTTGGGTGATAATGATGTGTCAATTTAGGTTCATAGATTGTAACAAATATACCATTTTGCTGTGGAAAGTTGATAATGGGGGAGGCTGCATGTGTGGGGGCAGAACGTACACATGAACTCTATACTTTCTGCTCAACTTTACTATGCACATAAAATTGCTCTAAAAAATAAAGTCTATTACAAAAGTATAAACATTGCAAAAATAGGTAACAAAATTTAATTAACTTGTGGCTATTAAAATAATCACCAATTTTTGCATTAAAAATGATAAAAATAAATACAAATGTACACTGCAAAAACAAACAGAAAGTGTTTATTGCACTGTTAATGCAAGCTAAATTTCTTGTTATGTTCAGGAAGAGGACTGAAATTCTGAAGAACATTAAGAAGTTTTAGGAAAATTCAGAGTTAAGCATGTTTTAGTACTTAAACATTTTTGTTTAAATTTTATAGATATCTGCCTGAATGTGATACATTTCTTCTAAATCTGTACAGGGAAAAAGTGAAAAACTCTATCAATACAACAGAAAAGAAGAAAAGCAAAAGCAAAGAAAAATAATGATTGCTAGAAAACACAAAATAAATTGTTAAAAAAGTGCCAAATATATGGTATCATACTATACATAAATGTATTGAACTTATGTAATATAATACAGAGAATATCATATTAAATATAGAGACTATAGAGACTTGTTTAGAACAAAGTGAGAGAAAAGGGAGAGGGAAGAAAAAAGATATATTAGTCAAATACAAACTAAAAGGAAGCAAATATAACAATGTTAATATTTGACAAAATGGAATTTAAGACAAAAAGCATTTGTAGGGACACTACATCATAATAAAGAATCCATCCATCAAAAATATAATACTCATAAACCTCTATGCTTTTAACTACATAGTGTTACAAAAGTTGTAAATAAAAACTATTAAAATCACAAAGTTAAAATTAACATACACATAATCATAAAAGCTTATGTCAAATGTAAAATAAGCATATGTCAAAACCATAGAATGTATAACACTAAGAGTAAATCCTAATGTAAACTGTGAATTTTAGGTGATAATGATGGGTCAATGTAGGTTAATAGACTGTAACAAATGTACCACTTTTCTGTGGAAAGTTAATAATGGGGGAGGCTGCATGTGTGGGGGCAGTAAGTACACAGGAACTCTCTACTCCCTTTCTATATGCAGAACGTAGAAGATATAGCTAACAAAATTACAAACTTTAACTAATATATATAATTAGAAATCTGTACTAAACAAATAAATACGTTTTTCATAAAGAAGATGTCAACATATTTCAAAGGATTGATAATAGACAGACTTATGTTCTTAAATTAGAAAATCAGAGTGAAAGATATTAAAAATTTAAAAAGATTCACATATGTTGGGGAGCTTAAAAAAACTCCCCAATAATTTATAATGTAACTAACTTGAGTAGTTGAGAAAACATCATCAAAAACATCAAAATAAAATATAAAATTATAAAAATCATGCTCACAAGAATATCACTGTATTGCCATATTCCTCAAATTAATCTGTCATTTGTAATAAAATCCAATTAGCATTTTTAATGGAACTTGAAAATCTGATCCTAAAATTCACATGGAAGAAAAAAAGTACAAAGTAATTTTGAAGAAAACAAAAAGGGCAATTACCTTTTGAGGTATCATGATATTATACCTCTACAATAATTAAAAGAGGGTAGTATTGGCTCATCGATATTAAAACAGACCAGTGTCTATAGACAGATCAGAAATAGACCTAGAATATATATCACGTATGAAGGAAGTGACATTATATATAATTGTTGGTAAATGAGTTATTCAATAAAATATGATCAGATTCACGTTGGAAAAAAAGAGATTTCCTACCTTGTACCACAAAGTAAGTTTCCTCTATTGAAAAATTTACTGTGAAATTCTCAAGAGAAAATAAACTATATTATTGAAATTGGAGTAAGAAACACATTTCTTGTAACAGGGACACAAAATCATAAACCATATAGAAAATTATTGATAAAATCTATTCATTGATAAGTAAAATTTCTATATAACAAAAGACATGAAAAGCAAAGTTAAAATTCAAAACTGGAAAAAAGATATTTGAAGATAAAACTGGGAGATGTGTGTGTGTGTGTGTGTGTGTGTGTGTGTGTTTGTGTTGTGTGTATCTGAAAAAATGAATATCCACAATATTTAAAATATTTACATAATATAAAACAAAAGACAACTGAATGAAAAACAAACAGAAGTTAACCATTCTAAAGGTTATTACAGAAACACAAATTTAAAACAACTGTGAAATATAATTTCATACCCAACAGGTAGAAAACAATAGAAAATCTGACAATATTGAATGTTGTTCAAGATGAGGACTGAACTCTGACCTTTTTCTTCTGGTCCAAATTCCTGTCGAAGGGGCTGGGGAGTCACTTTGTACAAACCATAAAATTTCATCAGATAAGTTTTATTTAACCCTATATAACATGGCTTACTTTCCAACCTGACTCTGATGTAATATCACGTGACAGATAAAGAAGGTAATCAAAATATTTCACCCCCAAATACGTTTTTTGTCTTCTTTTAAAATGTCCTGCAAAACTGTTCTTGTTGGGAAAAATTGGTTCTGTAAAGAATCTCTGCTAACATAACTAGATCTCTCCCGCTTCTAGGCCCTCCCAATTCTGAAGAGATTAACTGGGAGTCTAGCCCCTTTTAGAGGAAGAATAGGAAATATTTGCCATCTGTTGTCTCTAATGGCTGCCACTGATAAGGCTTCATGTACATAATAAGAACCCTGGTCTGCACAATCCCTTATCTTGACCCAGACACTCATTTCTATTGATTCCAGGCCTTTAGATAATAACTTTCAAATAACTGCCAATTAGAAAATCTTTGAATCCATGTATGAACCTATGACCTATAAACTCCCTATCCTTTTGAGTTGTTCCACCTTTCTGAACCAATGCATGCCCCACATATTTTATTTGATGTCTTATGACTCTCTTAAATGTATAAAACCTGCCTGTAGCCTGATCACCTTGGGCACATGTTCCCAGGATATCCTGGGTGCTGTGTTACAGGTCATAGTCCTCACATTTGACTCAGAATAAATCCCTTCAAATATTTTACATAGTTCAACTCTTTTCATCAACAAAGATAAGGAGAAATAAAAATTCTCAAACCATTTTGGAGAGTAATTTGGCAATAGCTAGTAAATGTGAAGACACACATATCCTCTGATCCTACATTTCTGTATCTTGTGCTAGATTGTTGTCATTACATTTATTTTAATAGTGAAAATGTGGCAATAACCTAAGTATGTTTAACAGCATTAATATGTGAACCCCAAAGTATCTGAGACAGGTCTTAATCGATTTAGAAAGTTTATTTCGCCAAAGTTAAGGATGCACCCGAGACCTAGCCTCAGGAGGTCCTGATGACATCTGCCCAAGGTGGTTAGGGTACAGCTTGCTTTTGTACATTTTAGGGAGATATAATATATTAATCAATACATGTACAATGTACATTGGTTCAACCTGGAAGGGTGGGACAACTAGAATTGGGAGGGGCTTCCAGGTCATAGGTAGATTTAAAATGGTTTTGATTGGTAATTTGTTGAAAGAGTTATCATCAAGATAGGAATGTCTGGGTTATAATAAAGAGTTGTGGAGACCAAGGTTTTATCATGCAGATGAAGCCTACAAGTAGAAGGCTTTAGAGAAAATACATTGTACATGTTCCTTATCAAATTTAAGGTCTGTGTTGATATTAATGCTGGAGGTTATAATGAGGCTCGTCTGATCCCTCTTCCATCATAGCCTGAATTATTTTATCAGGTTAACTCTGGAATGCCCTTGGAAGAGAGGAGGGGTCCATTCAGATGGTTGAAGGAGAGGGGAGGGCTTAGAATTTTATTTTCGGTTTACAATATATTGTGGCGATTCATATGTGAAATAATATATAATGGTTAAATTTGTAAGTTAGAGCTACATATATGAAGTTGTTGATAAAATATTGAAAAATGTTCAGCAAACATGAAAATATATTGTAGAATGATGCATGTAGTAAGGTACCATTAATAAAGCTTTAAAACATGCAATATTGTAGACTTCATGGATTCATCCTTGAATAAAATTACAATGTTCACATAATTGCAAAAACAAAGGGAAATAGGATTGAATTGAGGCACATAGAAGGATTCACGTGCAGCTGTAATGTTTTTTAAAAATATCTGAAGCAAATATGGCTAAATGTCAAGTTTTGGTAAACATAGGTGTGAATAAAGAGAGTTTATTATCTTATGTGCCATATATTTCACATTTGAATAAAGAAAAGAGATTATTTCTACTTTTTCAGATGTAGTTATTAGCCCATGTTCATGACTCTTCTTTAATGCTTGTAGGTTTTCCCCTCTTTCATTTCCAGATTAAGAATCTGACTTATATCTAAACCCAGTGTAAGACCTGAAGAAGCACATGTGGTAAACCTGTTTCAATGCAGAAAGCACGTAGGGCAAATGATAGCATAACTACTTATCACATAATGTTGGAAATTTATAGTGCCAAATCCTAGGACAAAGAGTTTATGAAAGGAAAGGAAAAAAGTGCATGAGAGAAAATAATAAAACAAAGGAGCCAACTCTTTATCAATGTAATAATAAAGGCACAGCCTTTCCACACATTTGCCGTTTCCCCTCAAAGGACACGTTGCTCAGATCATAATTTCATAAGCTGTTTCAGATATTCAAATTCACTTTCAAGAAGGCCTACATACACAGACGAGTTTTTGCAGTTGTTTTATTTGTAATTAACAGTAAACTCCAAAGTTGTAAGTTAGTCATAACATAGCTTCCTACATGGAGTTTCAGGTTTTGCCTATGTAAGTCAGAAATACCCAGATGAGAACACTAAGTTCTGTTATAGTCCAACTTACTGATTCATCTCTTTTCTTTGGTGATTTGCAAACTGGGATTATGAAACTTTTCTTTCTTTCTTTCTTTCTTTCTTTCTTTCTTTCTTTCTTTCTTTCTTTCTTTCCTTCTTTCTTTCTTTCTCTCTTTCTTTTTCTTTTGACAGGATGTCACTCTGGACTGCAGTGGCAGGAGCACAGCTCATTGCAGCTTTGACTTTCCTGGCTCAAGTAATCCTTCTGCCTCAGTATCCTGAGTAGCTGGGGCCACAGGCATGCACCACCATACCCAGCTAATTTTTATTTTTAGTATAGATGAGGTTTCACTATGTTGCTCAGGCTGGTCTTGAACTCTTGGGCTCAAGCCATCCTCCTGCCTCAACCTCCCAAAATGTTAGGATTATAGGTGTGAGCCACATTGCCTGGGCTCTCTGGCTTATTTTTAATCCAAACCAGTCATTTTATGATTCACAATTTGTGAGAAGGTGAAAATAATAACTTCAGATGCATATGTTAGGTCAGTGCTTCTCAAATTTTAGGCTGCAACCCATTAGTGGTTTGGGACAAATTAGTAGTTGTGAAAGAAATTAGTGGATTGCAACCAGAATTTCTAAAAATAAAAAAAAGAAAAGAAAAAAATAGAGAATATCCAAATGCATAGCACATTATAAGGATACATAATGGTATTATTCCAGATACATATATAGCTGAAATACAATGTAAAATATATTCCTTACTGTGGCCCACAATCAAATTTTAAAAGTCAATGTAGTGGGGGGATTAACTGGATCTAGTTGGGACATCAGACTCTCTTTCAAACTGATAAAATAAAGAGCATACCCTCAGATCAAAGAGTTGTTATTCTTTGAAAATACTAAAATTGTCATTGACTCATGAGAAATCTCAATAGGGAACTGGCGGAGATTTTTTATCTGTTAGAATTTCTACCTCCTCTCCTATTGCCAAAAAGAAACTGTCCTCAAATGGCTGTCCTAATTGCTGACAGTGTTATAATCTTTTTCAGAAGCTTAAATTGTTATTATTTTTTCCTTCTCAATTTTAGTATGTTGAATGGAGAAAAATTGGTCAAGTCAGTTATTTGTATAATATGAGGAAAAGAACACTCAAATGGGTTTTTAGTTTTTTTTATTAATTATTTTGATTTCTTGGACACCTCGTTTAAATGTTTACCATAACCACCAAAATAATAATCTAAAATATTCATAATAAATAACACTTTTGACTACTTATGTACCAAGAGCTTTATTATTTCCCATTCTAGCTAGATCGCTAAGTATCATTCCAGGAAGGCATTCAAAATATGATTCCCAGCCCTCTCCCTGTACCCTATGATCCAGATCCATGTCTGGTATGGGGCCCAAAAACTTATTATTTAGAAAGCATGCTAGGTGATTGTCATTCTCAGACAAGTTTGTGGGAAAACTACCTTGTATCTTTTTACCCTCACAAAAAAGCTCTTGGAAGTAGATTTTATTATCCTCATTTTACAGGTGAGGAAAACGGAACCTTGCATAGATTAGGCAATCTGCCTCAAGTTACCCAGAGAGAAAATGTTGAAGCAGGAATCTACATGCAAGAATCTCATAGAGACTCCAACTCTCACCACAGACTGCAACCAGGTAAGTAGTTTGGCCACGTTTGGGCAATTTGCACTGTTCAATGATTATGCAAGTCCCCTTTCCCAGTCTAACTTTCCTAAAACCCCAAGCCCTGCCCCCTGGACAAGAATGCTGTGTCCCCATCAGTCTCTCTTCCTTCTCTTTTCCTCAGCTCTTCTTGTGATGTAAGAGCTTGTTATGAAGCAGAGGATTCCATCTACTCCTTAAAAAGTAGGATGACCCCTTTAAAGTCCTCAAAATGGTGTTGCTGCAGGTAATCTTTTTGCAATCTGGAGGGTTGCCTGTAACTATGGTTTCAGAAATACATCATCTTTCAGAGAAAGCAACCTCCCTACAGTGCGGCTTTACAGCTGTGAACAGCAGCTATGCTTTGACTGTTAAACTTTCTTAGATATTATTGATAGCCAGTGCTTCTCAAGGCATTAATAAAACCTGGAGACAAGAAGGAAACACTGAGGGTAAGTGACCATCTTTGTTATCATTATTGAAGAATTGTTGCCATAAAACATACAACATGTGAAATGCAAGGTTTCAAATCTGTATAGTGTTTAGTATATTCACAATGTTGTGCAAACTTAACCTCTATCTAGTTCTAAAACATTTTCATCAACTCCACAGGAGACTCTCTGCTTATTAAGCAGTTGTTCCCTGTCCTCCCAGTCCCTGGCAATTCTAATGGGTTTGCCTATTCTGAATATTTCATATGAATGGAATCATATAATATGTGAACTTCTGTGTCTGGCTTCTTCACTTAGCATGTTTTCAAGTTTCATACACATCGTAGTATATTTCAGAACTTCATTCCTTCTAATGGCTGAATACTCTTTCATTGTGTGGTTAAGCTACAATTTGTTTAACCATACCCATTCATCTGTTGATGGAAATTTGGGTTGTTTCCAACTTTTGGCTATTGTGAATAGTGCTGCTGTGAACATTTGTGTGCAAATATTTGTTTGAATACCTGTTTTTAATTCTTTTGGATATATACTTAACAGTGGAATTGCTGGGTCAAATGGAAATTCTGTAATTAACTTCTTAAGGAATCACTAAACTGTTTTCTATAGCCACTGCTCCATTTTACATTCATACAAGCAGTGTATGAGGGGTTCCAATTTCTCCACATTTTTGCTAACATAACATTTGTCTTCCCTTCTTTTTTATTTTCTCTTTCTCCCTCCCTCTCTCTTTCCTTCCTTTCTCTCTCCCTCCCTCTCTCCCTCCTGATTCCAGCTTTTCTAGTGGGTTTGAAAGAGTATCTCATTGTGCTTTGGTTCACATTTCCCTAATGGCTAATAATGTACATGTTTTCATGTACTTGTTGGCCATTTGTATATATTTTCTTTGAAGAAATGTTACTTCAAGTCTGCAGTGTAACTCTTGGATCCTCTTTTCACACTGAGGCCTCTCTTGCCTTGTCTTCCCCACATGCAGTAAAGATGGTGATGATGATAGCTGCCAAAAGCCAGGCACAAGGCTAAATACTTTAGATGCATTATCTCGTTTAATTCTTTCGTGTTTATCTCCATTTTAAAGATAAGGAAACTGAGGCACAGAGAGGTTAAGTTGAACGTGGGTCATTAAAAATCAAGAGGTGGAGACTGATTTCAAAGCCTGTTCTTTCTGATTTGAAAAGTTCCATGCTCTTAACCTCTGCCTAAGGGGTCTGTAGACTAACTTGTATTGCATACATGGACCAGAAAATTGTGTTTTTACTGTATACCATCTTATACATTTTTAATAATAAGTTTAAGTGGCTGAGAAGGATGTAATTTTCTACATATTATAAATATTATAATTTAAAAATGTAACTGTTAGATTATGCTTTTAAATGTTTCCAAGGGAATCTAAATGCCATGGTGATATGTTACCCAGAACCATTAATTTAAAAAAACTCATGAACAATCCCTTCTTTTTTTTGCTCAAAATTGTACATTTATTATACTACTACCCTAGAATATTATCATAATATAACATTTTTCATGCTTGAAAGTCTTTTATTGATCATCCTCTCATACTTTCTGTATCAAAAATGTGAATATAAATTAAAATTGAACTTTAAATAATTTATTTCAACTATAAAGCTCTGAGGGTTAAACATTCCTTTTGATTGAGTTGTTATTATATTATTAGTAATAGTCAATTGATAAAATAAAAAAATTACAGAGTTTGATAAATTATCACTAACTCTAACAAGTAGATTTGTATTGGAAATGTACCTTTTTAGTAGAATGGATGGAGTGTTATGCTACCTTGATTAAAGGGACTCTATGCATAACAATTTTTCAACTTGTCCCTTGCTTGACAGCCTAGATCATTATTGCAATAGAGAAATGCAACATAGCAAATTTGTGATAGGTAAAAGGAATGCCTTTCTTTTTTTTTTTTTTTTGATAACTTGGAGGAGTTAATTTTTTAAAAGTTAGTAGGAAAGGAAATGTTGCTAGTGTGCAGCCTTCACCACACACAGAAATGTTCTTAAACAGGTCAAGTTTAGAATAGATTACATCGAGAAATAATGGATCTGGACATTGATTCTCTTAGGAGGATTCATACCTCTGACTCTTTGGAGGAGCCTTCTGTATTCCCAGGGTTTTGCATACCCCAGTTGGAAGATCACTACCTTGTACTATTCTAGTAAGTGAGTGGCCAAGACTCTAGCCCCTTCCCACCAGTGTACTCCATAAAAAAAAAATGGCCACTTAAAAGTATGCCTACAGCCTGCTAAGTATTTTGCGTATGTGATATTGTTTAATTATTGGAACAACTCTGCAAGGTAGGATTATGCTCACTATACAGAAAAAGTAATTTGTTTGGATCACAGAAATTATAAGCGGTTGAGCAAAATTTTGAATTTATTCTGTTTCTTCTCTTTTCCTCCCTTCTTTATTGGGCTTGTATCAATTAGAAGCAATGCAACTCAGTCCGGGCGCGGTGGCTCACGCCTATAATCCCAGCACTTTGGGAGGCCGAGGCGGGCGGATCATGAGGTCAGCAGATCCAGACCATCCTGGCTAACACGGTGAAACCCCGTCTCTACTAAAAATACAAAAAAAATGAGCCGGGTGTGGCGGTGGGCTCTTCTAGTCCCAGCTACTCCGGAGGCTGAGGCAGGAGAATGGCGTGACTCTGGAAGGCGGAGCTTGCAGTGAGCCAAGATCGCGCCACTGCACTCCAGCCTGGGCGACAGAGTGAGACTCTGTCTCAAAAAAAAAAAAAAAAAAAAAAAAAAAAGAAGCAATGCAATTCAATCCAATTAATTCTTCTCTGAATTTGTCTTCCTTTTCCAAACTTTTACAATATTATTACTTTGCATTTTTTTTAACTCTAAGGATAACAAAGAGCTCAACTTACACCTATTTATAATTAGTAGACTATGAGGAGGACAATTTTTTGAGTAGAGAAGATTTCTCATATCCACCTTTTACCTCCTTGAACAATAGCAGAACAAGGGTGGACAAAGTTGCACCCAGTTTTAAGAGTTCAGAACTGGGAACCCCGAGCTCAGATCTTTCTGTTGTAAGGTTGTTACTCAGATTTTACAGAGAGGAGATAGTTGTCTATGGTTAGGGCTATAGCATAGTTTCATTTCTCACACTATCAAGAAATCCGATTTTAAAAAATATAAGACTATATAATTTATTCATGGGTTATAAGGTAATGTTAGGTTTAGCCATTATTCTATAAATAGAGCAATAAAAGCACAGACCAACACCTTTCACTTACCCTGCAAGTAAGTTCATGGCCAGATTTATCTGGTGTACTGAGCAGAAAGCCATTTTCTATCACATAATGAAAATATTTGGAAAACCACTAGAGCAATGAGAGTTATAGAACTCCTAAAACTGTAATTGTCTTATTCCATTATTAGAGTGGAAAGTATTTGGAAATGTTTTAGTTTCCAAGTAAATGGCATAGTATCATTATCATTTTCAGATTACTAATTGATTGTCCTACCTCTTTTCTTTGAAGAGTAGGGCATGATGACAAAAAAAAAAAGGTTAAAACAAGAGGAAAGTCAAACATAAAAAGAAGTTTTTAAGGGAATATTTTGCTTTCAGTATTAGTATTTTTTTAGGTTACATGATCATAAATGAAACGTGTTTAAATTACATAGAATGACAAAATCTTTATAGTAGAAAGATACTTGAATGTTTCCCTTCAAAAAAATCTTAGATGATTTTTTTAAAAGAAACAAGCAGAGAATGAGCCCCTCTGCCTGGTAAAAACAAAACCCAAATTGAAAAAACTTTAGAGGAAACTTTCGAGTTTTTTAAAGGTTCATTTTTTCAGACATTTCTGGCATTTCTTCCTTCTCTCTTCTGTTTTTTGCCTCTTAGGTAATTTCACTGCTTGTTAGAAGCTTTATTACAAAGCAGATAGACTTAAAACAATGAGAATATGAAACCAACTGTCCTACTATTCAGCATATTCTAGGAACAGGATCAAGGGAAAGGTAGAGAATGAGGTCAATGGGTTTGAGTAGATTTTCATATCTGAATTATCTGGATGCTGTTTTTCCAGATAATACAAATTTAATTATGGCTCACTAAATATTCAACAATAAGTATGGAAAAGCTCAGGAAAAAGATTGAGGCATATTCATGAGGCAAGAAAACTCAGTTGAACACACAAAAAGAGAATAAAAATAGCTCAGCATTAGCTTTTATTCAGGAAAAATCCACTTCGTAGATTGAAAGAAGGATAAACATTGGCAGACAAATTGGTCCATCTTAGGAGCAGTTTTACAAGATAAATGAATGCTTGTTTCTTTTAATCCAAGAACTATGGTGCAACCTGACAAATCCTAGGCACAGTGTATCAAACAGCCACAACAGGTTCCTTGGAGAGCTCACAAATGACATTTCTTCACATGCAACTTGATAAGTATAATTCCCAATTTCCAACTTTTCCTGTATTGCTTCATATCTAATCTAATTCTTTTTTCAAGAATTGTTCTATGCCTCTTAATATATTGTTGGGAATTTGCTTTTAGGCTCTTGGGTAACAGGGGGAAAATGAATTGCAATCTAGTGGAATCTTGACAATATAACCATTACATTGTGCATGCCACAGCCAACAAGGAAAGTAAAGATGAAGAGAGCAGCATTTGATTCTGGTAAATTGTTCCCTTCACAATTTTGCTTTTGTAAAATAAATACAGTACATGAAATAGCAGTCTAAGGATAATCTGCTAGTTGTTTTATTCAATGAAAAGCAGAAGTAAATCATTCAATTTTGGAAGAGCTTGACATTACTGTGAGCATCATTTGCAAGAAGAGGCAATTATTGTTATTTTTCAAACAATTATTTGATACATTTAATAAATTATACTTACCAGACAACACTTATAAAATGTAGCCCTGTCATTAGGCAAAATACACAACTCTTATGGTTAGGAAATGACTGCTTTCTCCTTTCTAAATTCGGAACAATTACTGATAAAAAATTAATTTTAGCTTTTGAAATGATGACTTGTTATGGTTGTCAAGCCTTAATTATGTGCATATTACCTAGAAAGATGTGTAGGTACAGTTCAACAAAAAAGGAAGTAATCTTGACATGAACGCACAGCCCAGTGAATATTACAAAATAGCTCGCTATTTGCCCTATGAAGCTACAAACTCTGTATAGGCCTCCTGAAGCCCATTTTCTTTCCAATATACCTTCTCCTAGCCTTCTAGGAGACATTTTACTTGGTCTTTTCATGTTGTCTGCCCTTAGCTTTACGTCCTAAGTATCCAGAAAGGCATATAGCAAGGTCTTGCATCATTCTCTCAGCTCCGTATTGGAAGTGTTGCAGTAGATTGTACTTATTCTTTGCAGGAGAAGGTTTAAGTCTTACCAATTATTAAAAGGAAACAATTCTGAAACATTTAGAGAGTTTTCTTGCTAAAATTGACCAAATCTCAGAGCACAACCTCTGAGTTCACACATAAGTCTGTCTCTTTACTGATTTAATCACATGTAGTAAGGTCAAAGAAAGAAAATGGGAGAAGAAAGAAAATCTCATCTTGCCACATTACCCATACACAACATAATATTTTGAGTATTTATTTAACAGCACATTTGCAAACTTAACTGCTACTTTAAAATACCTTTTAAAATTTCACACATATGTAAGAAGAGAACCTACAAAGAGTATATAAAGTAATAAAAGTTCAAGATGAATGTGGAGCTAAAAATAGTGCCATTTGAGTTAAAGTGTATTGATGAAGCAAAAGTCTATTCAAAAAGTATGATTAACTCAAAGATCTCCTGTTACAATATATTCCTGTTCCAGTAATAATAAATAGTGTAAGGGCCAACGGGAAAGTTCCCCTTTGGTCTCTGAAAGTTCACTGAAAAAGGAACTCATAAAAAGCAGATTCACTAAAGAAAAGGCATACAAATTCATGTAACATGTACACATGGGAGTCATTAGAATGAAGACCCAAAGATAAAGGGAAACTTGTTCATTTTTATGCTTAGATTCAACAAAGTATGAGCAGCCAGGTAAAAGTATGATTGGACAAAACAGTTATGATCTAATGCTAATAGACTGAGTAGGGAAACGAGGCAGAGCCTGTCTGTCTGGATTCTTCCTGGGCTCTCTGAGCATGTATTCCTTCCTTCTGGGTGTAGGGTAGGGTCTTCTCTGGAATGAGGGTCTTGTGAACTACAGTTAAACAAAGTAGATCTCATAATTTTTTTTTTTTTTTTTTGAGACGGAGTCTCATTCTGTCGCCAGGCTGGAGTGCAGTGGTGCAATCTCTGCTCATTGCAACCTCCGCCTCCTGGGTTCAAGCGATTCTCCTGCCTCAGCATCCCAAGTAGCTGGAACTACAGGGGCACATCACCACGCCCAGCTAATTTTTTTTTTTTTTTTTTTTTTTGTATTTTTATAGTAGAGATGGGGCTTCACCATTTTGCCCAGGGTGGTCTCGATCTCCTGACCTCGTGATACACCCACCTCGGCCTCCAAAGTGCTGGGATTATAGGCGTGAGCCACCGCACCCAGCCTGATCTTATAATTTCTTTACATCTAGTTTTTATACAGAAAAGTAGAGAGAAAATTAGAGTAATATTTTTAGATTTTATGGCTAGCTTTGGGGAAAAGGGATTCTAGTTTTTATGGCTATTCCCAAGAAATAATGGGACTGAGAATAAGAGAGCAGGGGATGGTCAGAAAAACTTTTGCTTCTGAGGCCTTCATTTCAGAGTATTGTTTTCTGAGACCCAAAAATAGCTTATATTATTGACCCGTTACTATATGCCAGGTATCATTTTTTATACTTTATAGATATTATTTTAAAATGGCAAATTAAGTAAATAACTATCATCCTAAAATACTGGATCCAGAAGGCTTCAAAATGATATATCATGTGTTTTTCTGCTGGTGGCTCAATTTAGAATCTGATGACTGGAGCCCAAAACGCAAAAGGTCAGTTTGTGAAACTCCTGGGCTTATCATTCTATCTTATTAACGAGTTTTTTCAGAGTCTGAAGTCTAGACAAAGAAGCTCTACTGCTAGTCCTCAGTTCCTCATACACATCTTTTAAATTCTTGAACACATTGTTATGCCAGAGATGAAGCAAAAGGTGTGGTTTTTTTTTTTTTTTTTTTGTAACGTAACCATGCTAACTGGTTAAGCATGGCCTGTAGAGGAATGTGGCAGGATTCACCCTGGAATGCATGTTGTTTATGCTAGTTTAACCAGATCTTTCTATCCGTGGTCCTGGACTGCATCTCCTTTCCCATACAACCCCAATTATCAGGACACATGTGTGTCTTAGGCTGAACACTGGTTCCTGTGATTTGCTACATGATGGCCTTGAAATGATTATACTTGCTGTGTTTTCCTGGATGGCTCGCATGGCCAGGAGACTGCTATTCCAGAAAAATCACTCTCTACTCTTGCAGACTGAATTCCAAATCTAAGGCTTCTTTTATTAGGTCCGCACTAAACCTGTTCTTTCATCTATTGCACTGAAAAATTAGGCGAAAGAAAAATCCTTGCCAACAATTTCACCCTACATTTAAACTCTCTTTCCAAGCAGAGTTTGTGTAGGACTCCAGGCTTGCCCTGGGTAAGTCTTTTATATTTTAGCAATGGAAGCACTTTGGGGCCCACTTTCTGTTTCAGAAGCAACTGCTTTGCTTTGCATATTAACAGTGCTCAGCATAGTTTACCCAATCTCTTTTAGAAGCCACTGGCCTGGGGCTTGATTTGTACCAAGTTCAACTTCTTAAGCGTATTTATAGTTTTGAATGACTGATCTTGAATTTTTTGCATTTATTACTCTAATACTTTGAAGTTGGTTTATGTAGTTAAAACTACTATGAACATTGTTTCTCAATTAATAAGGATTAATTGGGTTTGACTTGCTTACACTTTAATTCTCTTTCATATAGAACAAAAGTGAGGTAGTTTCTCTTTGGGTTCTTAGATACCACCTTCTGGGTTCTGTCTCAGTTTTACCTGTTCCTCTTTGGAGCAAACTTACCTTTGGTATCCTATTGACTTCCAGATTGTGTTGTTTTCTCCCTTCAAAAATAAACTTTCAGGAGAATTTACACAAATGGAAATCATTAAGAATGTTTAGTATTACCATATTACCTCTCTTTTCACATACTCTCTTTTACATGGTTAGAAGATGTGTGTTTTTGCATGTTGAAGATATTGATGCTATTTTTCAATGCCAATTGATGCCAATATTTATAACATATATAAATTATAAATATTACAAAACTAGTGGAGGAGCTTTTAGGGGCTGGAAGAATATCTCTGGTGCTCAGAAATCACACAATTTAACCTCTACTTTTAACTCTTAAGCATTATACTGGTGAAATAAAATAGTTTCCTACTAAATCGTTACAAATATTCTCAAATATAAATAGGAAAAAGTCTGGCTTTAAATGCTTCCAAAGTACTAAAGGGACTAAGGCTATTTTGCTTCTCCTTTTGAGTGCTCTATAGGTCACTGAAAATCTCTCCTACCAATTTACTGAGTAACTTTCCTGTAATAAGATCTCACCTTGTCTCAATTTTTCCTTCTATGAAATGAAAATACTACTACCTGTTCCTATTTATAGGATAATCAAGGTAAAGAAGCTTTGGGAAAAAGAAATGTTTAATTTTTTAGCTGTAGTTCCCTTCTAGGAGGAGCTTGTAGTTCTTATGTGAAGAAAACAGGGCTTTGCTTTTAGCTTGTACTATAATAACTGATGATACCTGTGTACTAGGCAGGCTTGATGCATTCTAATTTATTTACAGAAACTGTGGGTTCACTGGCCACTCAGCAGTTGGAACACTTGCTCTTGAAATCGAGGATTCTGGTTCTGATAATTTCATAGACAACCTGTTTGTGATGTGTCTTCAGGGTTCAATGAATATTGTGATACAGTTATTGGATCACCAACAAACATAAAATGAAGTAATCAATTATCATGTACACAACTTAATTGAGGTCATTATTGGAGGAGCAGCATAGTACGAATGGTTCGGTCACACGGTTGAGATTCACATCCCATATACTCCATTTGCTAGCTATGTGACCTTACACTAGTCACCCAACCACTCTGTGCTCCAGTTTTACTCATATAAACGGAGAATAAGAGCATGCACCTTACATAGTTTCCATGAGAAGTAAGTCAGTATATGAAGTATTAATACTTAGTATATAGTGAGCACAATATAAACATTTGTTGAATACTAATAATTGAAAAAAATGACAACTGCCCATGGGTAAAAGAGAAGTTTTAAGTATGAACCAGAGTGCTAAAGAAACGTACTTATAAAATCATATATATTTTTTAAAATCACAACATTATCAACATTTATTGATGCTTGTAATACAGCATAATTCCTGCTTTCTTGAAGTTTGCAAAGAGAGAAAAAATGTATTAGAGACACTTAATCTATAGTTCTGAATGTAATAAAAAGAGCATAAAATGTTTTAAATTTGTTGATAATTCTCATATTACTCTCATCTTTTATCTGAATGAGATATAATATTCAATTTTATATACCTATTATTGTGCCACATAGACTACAAATGCCTGGTAAATTCATAGATGTGCATGGCCACTCATGCAGAAATGAAATATTTAACTACAAAAGTATCTTATATTTGGGAAGTTATTTGCTGACATTTCTTCCTCTGATATTTGGAGAGCATGCACAGTGATTTATGCACAGAAACTTGAAGGAAATGCTCCCATAGTGACTTTTGGAATATTGCTAATACATATTTTAAAAGTGCTTCCTACTATAAAGTTTTTCAAATGTTTGAAAAAAAATTTTATCATGTAAAAGCACATTGGGAAAACTCATCCACTGGAGGAATTTCTTAGTTCATATCATCAAAAACAATCAGAGAATATGGGTGTCCATTTTTTAATAATAAGGCAGCCAAAATGTGATGTGTATTAATTATGGTTATTAATTTAACTTTTGTTAAAGATCAATTATAATGCTTTTCTTGTAGGACAGCCCTTCATTACTTTTAACTAACACTAAACATTTGCATAGTAGAAAACTATTTTGGTTTGATGAGAGCAGTTATTACAGAAAGTTAAGCACTTGTGTTGTATATGAAACAAATCAGAGGTATTCCTCTTTGTAAGAAAACCTGATATATAAAAATTCAGACTGGACGCAGTGGCTCATGCCTATAATCCCAGCACTTTGGGAGGCCGAGGCAGGTGGATCATGAGGTCAAGAGATCGAGACCATCCTGGCCAACATGGTGAAACCCCGTCTCTACTAAAAACACAAAAATTAGCTGGGCGTGGTGGCAGGTGCTTGTAATCCCAGCTACTCCGGAGGCTGACGCAGAAGAATCGCTTGAATCCGGGAGGCAGAGGTTGCAGTGAGCCGAGATCACAGCCACTGCACTCCAGCCTGGGCGACAGAGTGAGACTCAGTCTCAAAAAAAACAAACAAACAAAAAAAACAATCAAACTTGCAAGAGATGAAACAGGGGGTGACTTCTTGTGTTTCAAGTGATTTTTTTACTTTCAAAAGGGTTTCTTTAAATAGTGGCTCTCTAATTATATGTCAGCATTAGTTGCAGACCAATCTACTTAACAAAATTTAGTTGTTAAAGAAACCAAAACTTAAAAGTGTGAGATGCCACTGCTAAGTAAAGTCTAAAATTGTGATGTAAGTGAATGGGAAATTTTGACTTATAAAAACATAATTTGTGTATTACATACATGAATTAAAATGAAAAAAATCACTGCATGTGCCTTTAAAATAAAATGTTAGGGACAGGAAGAATGTCAGGATATGATTGAAGAATTTAGAGTTAATGGAGGAAAAGTTATGTGTTGGCATTTATGCCTTCAGCCACAATTAGTATTACAGTGTAAGAAATTTCTGTAAATTTCAATGTCCAGTGGTGTGTATTTTTATATACTTAGAACATGTATGTGTGTTTTGCATGTTGAAAAATTGATGCCGGCCGGGCGCAGTGGCTCACGCCTGTAATCCCAGCACTTTGGGAGGCCGAGGTGGGTGGATCACGAGGTCAGGAGGTCGAGACCATCCTGTGAATGGTGAAACCCCGTCTCTACTAAAAACACAAAAAATTAGCCGGGCATGGTGGTGGGCGCCTGTAGTCCCAGCTACTCGGGAGGCCGAGGCGGGAGAATGACGTGAACCCGTGAGGCGGAGCTTGCAGTGAGCCGAGATCGCGCCACTGCACTCCAGCCTGGGCACAGAGCCAGACTCC
The DNA here is from genome assembly GCF_000001405.40 of Homo sapiens. Lineage (NCBI taxonomy): Eukaryota > Metazoa > Chordata > Mammalia > Primates > Hominidae > Homo > Homo sapiens. Next base: position 114,846,891 of record NC_000007.14, read on the forward strand.
ATCTCAGAAAAAAAGAAATAAAGAAAAAGAAAAAGAAAAATTGATGCCAATGTTTTTGTAAAATTGGTAATTTTGACAGATTGCATGGTGAAAACAATTTCTTACCTGGTTGATAGAGATATTAGATAGAAAAAAAGTATTTGGGTGAAGTATCACATAAAAGCAATTTTTCAAACTAATATATATTAGCTAGCCTGGCTTATGTGGACATTCAATTGTATAAAAGTTAGAATTAGTTTTATGAAAGCTGTGAAAACTAGAACCCAAGAACATGAATGGAATTAATATTATTAATTAGAGCTGAACCAAACTACATAGCTGAGGGCTTGAACAGTTAAATTCTGTTTTATCAAGTGATAAGTCACTGCATTCCATATGGTTGTAAAACTTTTAATTTTTCTTGTGCTTCATTCCAATGTTAGCATAGAATTCCTCCTACCCTCATAAGACCACCCCAACTCTTACAGAAATTTGAATCAGCAAACCTAAACAAGGACAGTAGAGCTGTATATCTGGCAAAAGATACTAGAAATCAGTGTTGTTTTGTGTTTAGTGTAAGTCTTAGTCACAATGTATTCTTTTCAGACATATAGGCTTATGATCATCACAGTTCTGCAACTCCATGTCAGAATATATGGTCTTAAAATATGATTATCAGATTGTTTCCATGCACAATTATAAATATGAAAAATCTAGTTTGGATGCTAAAAATAATATTTCTGGGTGTAGTATTAAGCATAATAATTTTGTCATTGTATTATCTCAGAGAATGGACACATTCTACATGTCAGGACTAAAGGTCATTAATTATTATAGTATCAATTTAATTTTTAGTAATGTTGAATTATTAGAAAAATACTAAGTAAAAAATTTTAAGATTTGATTCTAATCTTTTTCCACAATTGATACCTAACAATCTTTCCAGATAGTTTATAAAACATTCTTAGATTGTTCTCAGTTTGTTTTTCTATATACTTTTTTTAGAATGTCATTTGAATACAATTGGATCAGATTCATACTTCATTTATAAAGTAGAATAAATGTAATTTTAAAGTAGAATAAAAAATGAAGTTACTGATTTGGTAATCATGATATTATCCAAAGTATTTCACTGAAACATGACTAAAAATGAGAAAACAATTAAAAGCCTCGAAAAGTAGAAATGGTTTGACAGTTTTCTTCTTTTCAAGACTGAAGCCAGAATTATAAATGTGGCTATGTGCACCCAGCTGAGCTGCCCTTTTTAAATAGAATTTATTATTATATGACTGCTTTGTGCATACTAGATATTCATGGTAGATTTTATTATTGATCCTAATTATTCATTCTTTACTTCCCTGAAATATGATATATATCCCTATGATTACCATGGTACTAGCAGTGCCTGTCTATTAGAGAAATGTACTTTCATACTCCATTGTTATCTGGTTTGGCCATATGACTTGCTTTGGTCAATGAAATGTAGGCAGAAGTGATGTATACCATAGCTAAGTAAACAATTGAGGGCCTTTGTGTGCTATGGTTCTTGCTCTTATTTCCCTCTGTCACCAGAATAGCATATTCCAGATGCAGGTTGCTATTCAAGCCTGGATCCTTGAATGAAGAAGGTGCATGAGATAGGAGCAGAATTGCAACCAACACTAGAAGCACAACTTTGTAGTTATTTTGTAATGATCATTACTGCAGCAAAACAACTTCTTAAATTTCTCCATCTATATGAAGAATTTTATTTTAAATATAATTTTCTTTTAGATAGGCCTTACTGATAATGATTTCTGTTCCCTGGTGTTTGTTTTCTGTGTATCTTCTTCTACATTTAATAAGACTGATCTGCGTAACTAATAGGATATTGCAGAAAGGAAAGAGTGTAATTTCTAAGGCTCAGTCATAGAAGACATGCACACTTCCATTTTTCCTGTTCTTGCTTCCCTTATTGTGGTGAAGTCACCTGCCATGTCATGAAAATACTCGTAACAGGCCTGTGTGAAAACGGACAGACTTTCTTACAATAGCCAGCACCTGCTTGGCAGTCATGAGGGTGAACTCTTTTGGAAGCTCATTCTCAAGCCCGAGGCAACATTGGGCTACAACCTTATGAGAGATTCTTTGCCAGAACCATCTGCTATGCTGCTCCTATCCCACAGAATTCTGATGCACAGAAAATGTGAGATAATAAATTTTTATTGTTTCTTTAAGTCACTAAGTTTCCATGTAATTTGTTACATGGCAATAAATAACTAATAAGATGATGTCTCAAGAGACTTCTACTTCTGCGTATGTGGCAGTATTTTCCAGCAGACCAAGGCCTCAGCCAAGAACAAGCCTAATAGAAGCAGAAGACATCTGTTTAAAGGCATTGGAGAGCTGCTAGGGCAACCAAAACTAGAAATGCCAAGATTCCAGAAAGGGGAAGACTAGTGAGTTAACACTATTCGGCCAGTTTTTCCCTGCAAAAGAAAAACCGGCTTGATTTTGGACCTAGAGCTAATGTCTGAGAACCTGGTATTCTCTAGGTAGAGGAGATAGAGAAACCAGGAAAGCTTTTGGTGTCTTGTAGTAGTGGAAAGACTTGAGGGGTAAGGATCTACTGAGCAGGGAAGACTGATCCTGACCCATCATCAGTTTTTCTTTCAAGACACTTGTCAAATTCTCGAGTTATGTGGAGGCTGGAGGCCAAGTAGTTAGTAGACATCTTCTCCAAAGCATATAGGAGTTATTGACAGTCTGTGATGTGGAAGTGACAAAGATGAGAGGTCAGCATCTGGAAGGGGAGGAGCCCTGGTAGGCTACTGGCAGGCTCTCAGCTGGAATTCCTAGAGGGCTATGCCGGAAGAGCTGGAGAAAATCAAAGGTAGAGAACCATTACCACAACATGAACACAGCTTCAACTCAGCTCAGCTTCTAAATGGATTAAGATGATTAAGCCTCTATTCTATTAATATTTTCCTTGCTAAGGAAGACAAAATTATCAGAGGCCTCTGCCATTTTTAATACAAAGTGTTTGTTATTCAAGTAAAAATATTACCATACATATTCATAAATCCAAGAGGAAAAGCACACAATGAAAGCAGACTCCAGTTGATCCAGTGATATGGTTCGGCTCTGTGTCCCCATCAAAATCAGTCTTGAGTTGTAATCCCCATGTGTGGGAACAGAGGCCTGGTAAGAGGTGATTGGATTATGGGGATGGATTTCTCCCTTGTTGTTCTTGTGATAGTGAGTAAGTTCTCATGAGATCTGATGGTTTAAAAAGGTAGCACTCCCCGCTCACTCTCTCTTCTGCCACCATAGTGTTAAGCGGTGCCTTGCCTCCCCTTCACCTTCCACCATGATCGTAAGATTCCTGAGGCCTCCCAGCCATGTGGAACTGTGAGTCAACTAAACCTCTTTTCTTTATAAATTACTCAGTCTCAGGTAGTTATTTATAGCAGTGTGAAAATGGACTAATACATTCAGATATTTGAGTTAGATAAAAGAGAGGCATCAGGAGAGAGCTCTGCGGAGAGACCTGGCCTTAGGACTCTGAGAAGATCTTTTTCTTCTTCTTGTAATTTGTAAAACTCTTCTGGTGCCACCCTTTATAAAGTGCACCTCTTTTTCCAGGCAAATTATCATACTAGTCAGTTTGATTTTCTCCAGAGCACTAACCTACATTCAAAATCCTCACATTTATATGTTTGTTTATTTTATTATTATTTACATCCACAATTAATATATGAATACCAAGAAACCAGGAATCCTAATTGTCTTGCTCAGGTGCATATGATTCAAGAACTGATGGACACAAAACAAATACAGTAACAACAACAGCAAGAACAATTACATATCTTAGAAGTAAAAATGCCCCAGTACTAGTTTTTAATTCATTAATTCTCTCCTTAACAGGTTCAAGTCTAAATTTTATCCTATTAGAAAATTAAAAAAAATTTAGTGATTATAGTTTTATTTTTAGGATATGTAAATGTTGTTGCTTTATGTCCACCTGTTCTTGATTCATGTGTGCCTGCAAAGATCACGTAAACCTGCACGTGGGGTATTTACATTTTATTTGGAGGAGAAAACAAAAATTAAGTAAACAAATATATAAATGTGAACATTTCAAATGGTAATTAATGCTCTGAAAAACAATCAAACTGTCTAGTGTAATGATCTGTCGAGAGGAAGGAATATACTTTATGTAGCATCACAACAGATGAATTTTACTAAGCAGAAGATGAAAAAATCTTTTCAGAGCCTTAGGTGAGGTCTTTTCCAAAGGGTTTCTCCTGCTTGCCTCTCTCCTCAGGCCTGGTTTTCTGCAGCTTACTTTTCTCCAGTGGGGATGTACTTCAAGGAGTCTATCTTGTCCATAATCCAATCCCCCATTCTTCTCAGAGCTATGAAAAGGAAAATAAACCAACCATTTTCAAATGAGGAAATAATCTGCAGAAAGTCTGCCCATAAGACTGATCACCCTCTATGCGGAGAAATTCATCAACTGACAGAAGGGATGGTCTTCATGGCAGAATGGGAAAAACTTGCATAATCAAAAATCCCAATAAAGAACTTTTACTCCTTTCCCCCCAAATAAAAGGCAAATTCAAGCCTAAACTACTAGGGCAACATTTTTGAGAGTGCTTTCCTCATGCATAGGGACTGAGGTACAGTACTAGCTAAAAATGTAGATTCCTGGTCCCCACCCAAGACCTAATGGCTCTAGGGATGGAAACTAGGAATCTATGTTTTTGGCAGTCAGCCAAAGTGAATCTTATGCAAGTGTAAGTTTAATAACCTCTATCAAATGGCAACTCTTCTTCTTTCAAGGAGTCTATTTTTAAATTTGTTTTTGATGAACCAGATTTTATGTGGTCTAGATTACAAAGTTTGAGAAATAAAATGGTTAAGATTAACACAAAAAATGCAGAAGTTTAACTTGCAAAGGATTATAAAATAGCGGGCCATTCCATTTCTCACTAGAGCTTTAAAATGCTATGTTTTAGAAAGGGAAACCACAAGTAATAAAAGTAAAGAGATTATTTATATAGCACTGCCTTCTGATGAATGCGTGATACTTATTACTTCTCTTGTAGAATATTTTCATGGCATGTTCAAGTTTCACTTCGAGATGACAGATGAGAGTGTTAGAAGTTCCAACCAATAAATCTAGTTCTCAATCAACTATCAGTAATGTAAAACAGAAGATTCATGTTTTTTCCTTAGTGAGATTCGTATTTATTTTTTGTTTCAGTTTACTGATAAATTACTATATGGAGGTACATATAAATTACTATATGAGGTAAACCACAATGAATAAAGCCAGGTTTATCAGTGCTCTGAAAGAGTTTACATTCTTATGGAGAGACAGACAATCAATAAAATCGCAAATAAAAATACAGTTATAAATTGACTGCATCTATAGTGAATTTTCTAAATTTTTTATGAACTCCATCTGACAAAAACAAATCTAAAACAATCAAGACCTTCCATTACAATAGCAAATGACTATAAGGATTGTCAGCTTCATATTTTGTTTTGACTTAGTTTAATATTTATCTCCTAAAAGTGTCATGTTTCTCTCTCTGTCACATAATTTATCTGTAGGAACATCTGTTGTGTGTGTGTATAATGTCTATGGAAAGATTAATGTGACAAAGATTTGGAAATAGCTAAAAACAGCAATGAGCCTGTAGGGCATAATGACCTAGTGATTTGGTTAGAAATGGTTATATGTATTCCTCAAGGATCTCATGGATTGGGGATGTTATCATATTGGAGAGTATATATCAGTAGTTTTTTTCTGTTCCAGGTATTGACAAGATCCTATCAACTTTTCCAAATAGGGAATTTCCCCAGTCAATTTTACCAGGTCTTCTGAAAACAAGGTGATAAAATTCTTTTATGGGTAACAAGGCCATTGTTTGTGTCTGAGGGACTGAGACAAGCAGACAAGAGAAAGCTTACAGCCTTCTAGAAACTTCAGTGACAAATCTATGGAATTTCAGCTTAGGCAGACACATTAACTCATTTAAATTTTGTCCACTCAATGATTTGTATTTTTAAAAATTTCACTGGGTGAGGTGGCTCACGCCTGTAATCCTCACACTTTAGGAGGCCAAGGTGGTAGGATCACTTGAGCCCAGGAGTTCGAGACCAGTCTGGGCAACATAGCAAAACATTGTCTCTATTTTTTAAAATATTATCCATTTGTTTATCGAATGTGAAACTTGGGGGGCTTGGGCTTGTTTATGTCTTCTTTCTTTCCTTAATGACAAACCTCCTAACCAAAGGAAGTAGATACATCATGCGCGATTAAGAATTAATAAGCATGCTGTGGTGATGATCTACCTCAAAACAAATCACCTCACGACCATCCTGAACCCATTTCACATCCACCCACAGCGTTTTCCGTGAGATGCACTGTTTCACTTAACTTGCTCAGCACACAAGCCCCACATGTCAAGTTATGGATATCCAGGAAAAGCACTAGGAGGGTGTCTGATATTTCTGTGTCAGCTGAGACAAAAGCATTTGACACTTCCCGTCAGCTGGCATTGACTAAGGTATTCTAGGCTGCCTTAAATAATGTGATGTGAAGGCAACAGTAGAAGCTGGGGGTGGGTTAGTGGGGAGAAGTAGAGTTTTACAAATCCACAATTAAAAAAGAATTTGAGCCTGTCAAAATACCTTTCAAACTTTCTCATATCCTACTTCCCAAGTTATAATCCCAGAGGAAAATCAGCTGAAGAGAAAATGTTCTGCTGCCCCTTGTTCGTAGTGGGGTGCAGGTAATCAGGACTTGGCAATTTGTATCTCTCCCTCTGACGTACAGTGCAGCATTTGTATAATTTATCTCTTCATACATATTTCATTATTATTAATCATCATAAATAAGTAAATCAGATCTTTTAATGACATAGGGGTTGAAGAGATAGACTGTCAGGGTGTGACAGTGCTGCATAGTCATCATTAGGGGGATTTATTATTTTTGAAAAAAGCAAGTTAAAAGACTCAGCTCAGTAGTCAAAACTGCAATTTGGGTTTTATTGCGCAAAAACCTAAAGTGGAAACACTTCTTCTGAAACTGTTTAACATACATGTAATTCAAACAACCTTCTTTACAAGGCCTTCAGTGCATTCACGCTAATACAACAAAGTTCTCTGCCCAAGTTATTCCTTTCAAACTTCATAGTTCAAGCGCAACATGAATACCTTGGCCATAGGAACTCACTGAAGCAGCAAACACTGAGCTCAGTATCTCTCCTTCAAATAACAGGATTCTGGGGAAGCCTCATTTTGCTCCCTTCAGAGGCAATTAATGGTTTTGAATATACCTGGAGATTATTCATTCTAGGAGACATCTCAAAGCTGCAGGTCACATTTCACTTTGGTCTGGTAAGAATCCAAATAAAAGAGAAATTTAAAAATGTAGGCAATTTTTATTTTAATATTTTTGCCTGCAAACTGTTCTTGCTTCCTTTGGCAAAGAAATAAAAATTTCCATTCTAGGGAGCTTCAATGTATCACATGAATATTACATTTTTACCTCAATTTAACCATTTCAAACAGGAGGGGGAAAAAAAAAGCTTAAAGAAGAGCCAGTGCCGGGCAGGGTGGTTTGGTTCTCCAGAGCTTACCTGGAGAGATGGCCACCGTGGAAAGAGGGTCAGCACACATCAAGGAACTGCCTCTTTTAAAGGCTGCTGTATGATCACTGACTCATAATCCCACAGGCTCAGCATGATCTCAGGTGCTTTTGATTTCTGGTTTGGGTCATCATTGAAAAATGGACAGAATATATCATGAGGTTTGTAAGGTGACTTCAAACTCTTATAAAAAATGGCCTTCTCACTTAAAATTTAAATATATATTTCTTACTGCACTGTATAATAGGGTTTACTCTAAATCAATGCTCTCAACCCCAGCGAACGTTAGAATCCCTAAGGGAGCTTTAAAAACAGTAGGAATGCCCAGTCTCACCCAGTATCTGATTTTAATTGATCAGAGGTGCGGCTCAGAAATTTTTTAAAAGTTTTCCAGATGATTATATTGTGCAGCCAGGATTGAGAACAACTGCTCTAAATGCTTAGAATACGGATGGAAATTATCTTGATTACTTTTCTAAGCATGCTTCATGTTTTAGTTTATGAGATGGAGGAAGGACATTTATCATTGATATGTCATATCGCAGGACCTTGAAGCTTAGTCTGAAAAGTTTTGAGAAAATGATTTGTTTCCATATTCTTTTTCTTTATCTTTTAGCATTTGTTTTATTTCCGGTTTTTCTAAAAGACACACACATGTAAAAACAAAAATATACAAAAAAATTCTGAAGTCATCTTTGAAACTTTTTTTTTTTTTAAAAAAAGGTTATTACTGGAAATATATTATCCATGACAGTGCTTCATACTTCTTTTGGGATAACTTAAAATTTTATTTTTTTTTACTCCTCCCTTTTTTTCTTCCTTCCTTCACCAAACAAACATACGTAAAGCATCAAATGATTCATCAAGAGATTGAAAAACAAATTCTTATCACATGACAAAGTAGATGGAGATTCACACTTTTTAAAATCAGTACCACACACAATATCAATATTCCTCTCTAGAGTGGAGTAAGGAATTGAAGTAAATATCAAAACAAAACAAATATGTATATACAAAGTAATGCTACTGATTATAATGACCATGGGTACTTTTTTGCCTGAATTATTTGGTAATTTAATATATTTTTTGAGCAAGTTAAATGACCATAAATAATGTTAGGAGCCAAAACAAAAGGAAGGGTGCAGTAGTGTGTGGTTTGTATTAAAAGAAAAAAAATGAACTTTCCAGAATTGTAGAGAAGAAAAGTCTTTTGGAAATCATTATGTCCATTTGCCTTCAATTTATAAATAAGAAAATTTAGGCTAAGAAAACTACCAGTTTTTCTCTTGTCATTTCTTTGGTTATATAAAGAGCAAAAGCAACTGACTTCTCTCACAGACAAAAGTACAGTTTAAAAGTTAGAAAAGTGTTTACAAGTAAGTGAGTTTTAAAAATTGAGTCCAAATTAAAGGATATCCAAATAGCTCTTTTACTAAATTTTGTGTATCTGATGGATTTTATACTGAAGAAGGAAAAGTGAATATAGATATTTGAGGATGTTGATATCAACAAAATTAAAAGTATTTGAAAATCTCTTGCAAAGCATGATGTATGAATGTGTTACCATGTAATTATCTAGAGCTCTGCACCTTGCAACAGAGTGAAAGTAAGTGCCTGTGATTAGGTCCCATTATACGTAATGAACCTATTACGACACATCTGATCTCAAAATGGATTTACACTAATAAATACTTTTATCAAAAAAATGCATGCTAAAAGTAAATATTTGATTTAAAAACTATACTGGTAAAACATATTTAATCACAAATATGTTAAATAATAGATTCTTTCTTCTAATAAACACTAAATAGAAATGAGAGATGCCCATTACATGCTGATTTTTTTTTTGTTTCATTAATACTAAATGTTCAAGGCTATGGTACTATATTTCACCCTCTAATTGAACAATTTAATGTCCAGATAATAGAAGCTCCAAATATATTGTTACCATAGTGAACATTATTTAAAATATCTTAAACACCATGCATGTCCAGGCAGAGGCTTTTATTCAACACCATGAATAAAAGATGTACTCATATTTGCCAGTGAGATTTGGGAAAAGAAGATTAAAACTGCTGAGAGACATTGTTTCTTAGTGCTCTAGAATATAGCTAGAAATACCTGCACGATTTTAATGTAGACCAGGGAAATGGTCTTCATCTTGGAGGGCTAAATAAGATGTCAAAATTAGACTGAAAGTTTCTCCAGTCTCTGAGACACAAATTCCTGAAATACTCCAGGAAATTCCGGAATTAGCTGGCATTCAGCACCTAGCTAATCATGAACTATTTACATGCATTCATGTGATAATCTGGATGGGGACACAGGACTGGAGTCCTTTTAGAGTTCTTTGTATTAAGGTAGAAATGGGTCAGATTCTTGGTTCATTTTGTTTTGCAGTAGAACCTTGGACCCACTATGGAATACTCACAGCAGTCGAAGGAAAGGCTGGAATGAGACTGGCTTCTGGGAAGAATTACAGCAAAGCCATCAAGAAACTGCACTTTGGGGTCCTATACAACTGAATACTAGTTTGAACTCTAGTTTCATTACTAATAATCTTTAAGATATTGCCTAAATTATTTAATCTAAGCCTTAATTTTCTTATCTGTTAATCAGTAACATCTATTTTGAAAGGTTATTTTGAGGATAAAAAGAGATTGTCTATGTAAAGAGTTTAATACAATGCCAGCACATAGTAAATGCACAAAACTTTTACTCATTCAGTAAGTACTTCTATGAATCAGTGGAGTGGACTCCATAATTTTTGGGGTCCAGTGGAAAATAAAAATGTGGGCTTTCTTGTTCAAAAGGCAGGAAAAATTGTTATAAAGGTATTAAAATATAAAGCTTTTTCTTTCTTCAGCAATCTCTTTGACGTATCATGGGTTTTTAAAAACATTTTCATTTTTTAAAAAATATAATTTTAAATTATTAATATCACTTTTACCAATTATTTTTATATTGTGGCATGCCAGTTTTGAATGAAAATATAAGTGCATTTAACATATATCCAGATTCGCCCAAATGATGCAATTTGTATTTTACAGTTTGTATAAACATCTATTTCATTCCTATAAAATAGTAAAACACTGCATAAAACTAACTCAATTGGTTCATTTTCACTTCTTAATGTGTGCACATTCTACCAATACTCATTATGTTTGTCTTGAGTAAGGAAGAACTGAAAGGAAAGGGAACTGTGGGTTGCCCTATCTGCCATTCCTTTGTATGTCATCATTTTCTATGTCTGTGGTGAGCTAGTGAAGTAGTAGAAAGAAAGAATATAAAAGGGTGACTCGGTCATTATTGTTTCTTAGCACACCATTGCCTTCTAATTGGTTGGTTAGAACACCAACACCTTGTGCTTTTGAAGCAAGTTCCAGTTTGAATAGAAAGCCTGGACTCTTGGGTCTGTCAGTACCTCACTTATGCAGACATGAATGTAATACACTTACCTTGTACTTGCTTTGAGTCTTGTTGCATGCCCACACTTGTGGACCCATTGGAATTCTGCACTGATGGGGCACTGTGAATGCAACATGAAAATGATGCAGCAAAGAAGAGAGGACATATATTTTGAGTGTATTTCCTCTGCTCACATGCATATTTCAGTGTCCCATTGGACTTCACATACAAAACACAAGTTCAAAGATAAAATTATGAATCTCCAGATGGCAACAGCAGATTAATTAATTAATTAAGCCAAGCAGAGACCTCAGTATAATTGCATAGGTTATGCACCCATGAAGCCAGCCCTTTGTGTTAGGCAATGCTTTACGTGTTGAGAAACAGAGTTGAAGAGTAATGTCTGTGCCATTGCTTCACAGAGCTTACAAGTATATGAATAGATAAGTAAAGAAACTTCAGAGGGTGATAAGTGTAATTAAAATAAGAAAATTGTTGGTGCATTACAGATAAGTGATTGGATGGACCATTTTATATATGGTCATTAAGAAAAGCTTTTCTGGGGAGCTGACATTTGAGCTGAGACTTACATAGGACAAGGTGTTAGACATACAAAGATCTAAGGAAAACCAGTTCCTGGCTGAAGGAGCAACACACACCATGATTTCAAGGAGGGAATGAGTTTGGTGAGTTGCATTGCTACCAATTACAGGGTAGCTTGATGGTGTCTGGAATGAACACAGGTCCTCTGGCACATTGCTACTCAAAGTGTGCTCCCAGGACTAGTGCCATCAGCATCACCTTAGAGCTTATTACAAATGCAAGAATTTTGTTTCCCACCCCAGACCTTTGGAATAAGAATCTGCATTTTTAGCATTTTAGCATGACCCCAAGGTGATCTGATGCATATTGAAGTTTGAAAGGCACTGAGTTAGAAGACCAGTATGTTTGAAGTCTAATGAATAAGTAGGATGAGCTTGGAGAGGAAGGTGGGGCCAGATCTTGTAAGCTTTATCAACCAAAAAAAGAATTTAGATATTCTTCTAAGTGCAAAGAAATCTATTAGATAATTTTAAAAGGGGAATGCAGTTGGGAATAATAGAGATTTTCATGGTTGAGAACCACTAGAAAGGGTAGAGAGATGCCAAAAGAGATGTGAGAACAATTTACAATTTTCCAAATTGCTCTAAGCCTTCTCAGTGATGACAATACCACAGAACAGCCATAGAGTTCACCCAAGGGTGTTGATCCCACATATAGACCTTTGTCATAGTGTGTTATATCACTGTATTGTTTGCAATTGCATTTGTTTCTTTTCTACTAACCAAAAATTTTTCTACAGCATAAATCACATTTTGATCTTCTTTGTACTTTTAAGGTCCTTTAAGATTGCTTGGTGCATAGTTTTCTTGTAAGCGTAATAAAAGTGTGTTGATTTGTGTTGATTGAAAAAATGTAGTTAAGAACAGGAGAGCTATGCATTTTTATAGGACACTAGCCTGTCCTCAACTCTTCTTCATTTCCTCATGCTTTGAGCACATCAAATTTTAAAATGCAGTAGTAGGAGAAAAATACTGAAATGTTTGAATGCATGACTCTTTAGCTGAATAACAGTAATTTTTATATTTGTTAAAACTTCTAAAATGATACTTGTTATAATTCTTTGACACTGTGTTGGCATCAGGCATTTGTTCTATGAGATATATTATAAAAGCCCAGGAGGGCAGTGTTGCAGAGTGGCACATTCAGAAACCAAGCAAATGACACACACCGTCTTCCATGACACATCTCTGGCCTCAGACCTGTTGTCAGAGCTCTTTGAACTCTTAGCTCCTGAATTGATAATTTACCTTTGTCTAGAAAAATTCAGGAGATTCTAATGGGGCTACTCCCTAACTCTATACTATGGGAAACTCCTTCTGAGTAGGAAGAGAAGCACAACCTCATTTGCTGCTTTCCAGGTGTTTCTGTTAACAGGTAAAAGTTGACAACAGCCAAAGTCAAAATTCAGTGTAAGAGAACATTTAAGAAGAACTAGTTGCTGTTATTTTCTTCAGGAAATATACCAATCGTTATATTTCTTATTACTTGATTGACACATTAGTTTCTGGCCTCCCTGCTTACCACATCTAAAATAGGATTAAGACTTTTTTTGAATTAGTGAATTACAGTTCAGTTAGATAGACTGTATCATATTATACTGAAAGCTTCTATGAAATCTAATTTGATTTCACTGCTTCCAACATAAGAGCAAAAAAGAATTGTTATCAATTCATTTATTGAGTTTCAGTGCTGAAAGTTCCCTATTTTTTAATCAATATACACTGTACTTACTTGAAAGCCTAAATCTAAGTTTGAATCACTCTTTTGAATAACAGGCTCCCTTTCCATCAGTGAAAGGTTGGTTTGTCAGCATGGATTCACTCTTGAGTACATAATCATTTTAGTAACCTGTGAGTACGTGTCAAACATTATGTGCTGGAACATGGTGTCAACTATGACTAGTTTAATAGATATTTCTCCCTGCTCTGGCCATTCATCATGTCTATAGCTATATCTTCACCAAAGGACTAGGTACAATAAACGTGCTTCTCATGGAGATTTTTATCAATGTCAGATTATAAACACAAAATTCCTCAGGCAGAAGATAATCTTTCAGGTGGTTAAGAATTTTATTTATTTATTTTGCACATATGTAAATGCAAAGAAGATTCAGGCTTCTTGCCATTCCAGCTATCAGGGGTGTTACCTTCGTTTTTTGATGCTAATCCAGCTCCTTAGATTTTATACATCAATTTTTAAAATTAGAGAATTAGGAACTGAACCTGCGAGCCGTAAATTACAAGAAAAAAATAGTAGGCATCAGAAAACTTAGAAAATTAACACACCTGATCTTGCTGTGTGTATCATCTTTATAAAATCCTGAATGACTGAAAGTCACTGTACCCCATTTCATTATACAACAGCCACTCGAGGTGCTTTAATATCTTGTATCTCATGTTTCTATTTCTTGTGTACCATGATACTTGCTATGGATTGAATGTTTGTCCCTTCCAAAATTCATGTTAAAACTTAATCCCAATGTGGCAGTATTGAGAGGTGGGGCCTTCAAAAGGTGATTGGGAAATTACGGCTTTGCCCTCATGAAGGAATTAAACCATTCACACATCAATGGATTAATGAATTATCATGGGAGTGGGACTGGTGGCTTTTCAAGAAGAGGAGGAGAGATCAGAGCTAGCAAGCTCAACCCCTCCTCATGAGCTGCTCTGCACTACTCAGGGACTCTGCGAGGGTCCCCGCCAGCAAGAAGGCCCTCATCAGATGAAGCCTCTTGATCTTGGACTTCTCAGCCTCTATAACTTTATGAAATAAATTCTTTTCCTTTATAAACTACCCAGTTTCAAGTATTCTGTTATAAGCAAGAGAAAAAGGACTGAGATAGTAAACTACTGGGCCCCCACCCCTTCAATGAGAATTTTACTGCTGAGGCCATTTAACTTCATACTAGATTCTGGAACAGGTCATGTTCTATGGAATAAAAGATAAGTGGTTACAAGATGAGCTCTGAATCTAGGCTTACCTAATTCTCTGATTTGGATCCTGGATCCCTGCCTTGATGCCTGGATCCCTGCCTTGATTCCTGAATCCCTGCAATGACTGGGACTGCTTTCCCCAGACTAGGTTCTTTCTGTTGGAGCCTTCCTATGCTCATTCGCAGGTCAAGCCAATCCCAATCCACCCATCTGCTTCACTCTCTGGCAAATGCTGCCATTCTCCTTGAGAGGTCAGGTGCCCCTGAAGGTGAAGATGATCTGGTTTTTTTTTTGTACACAGTTTTATCTCTTTAGCCAACAGTACTCACATCATTCTGTCTCTTAGAATTCAAGACAGATCTTTAATTTCAGATTCCCATTTTCTCATACTAAAACCCCCCCACCCTTGGCCTTTCTTTCATGATTAGCCTTCTAGCTTCTATATGTTTATGAATCCATATAAATATGATTTTTTTTGTGATTGAACTCTGTTGAGCTGCCTGAGCTTGAATTATGAGTGGAAGGGATTCTAAGAAATCTGGTGGTTGATATATTATAATTCTTGGCAAAATTATTAATCTTGGAATATTCATTTTGCTCTGATAGTGTATGGTAGCACATAAACCATTCTATTACACAGATAGTAAATCTGAATAATAATTTCTATTTTGGGTACTTGCTATGTATCAGATATTTTGTTCATTGGCTTATAAACATTGCTTGATGTTTACAATGTCTTCAGTCTCAAAAGAATTTTATGAAGTAGGTGTTATTTCTCACATTGTACAGATGAGACCCAGAGAGATTGAAACATACACCCAAGTGACAGCCAGTAAGTGCAGGAAACAGTTTTTGACCCTCAGTGTGTCTAAGTCTAAAATCATATTCTTAATCACTACATTAAATATGTGTTTAAAGACAGTGTATATTTCAAATTTCTTAATGGTTTGTATTGCCTTCTGCTTCAATAAGATTGCATCAATAAGGTTTTATTGTAGATTATGTGCTTTAAAACACCCAAATGTCTGATGCTAAAGTAACAGAGTGGTTTAAAGTGATTTTATCTAACAACCTTTTGCCTCTGTCTTATCCAAGATATTGGTTGCCTGTGTGGAAAAGCACAATACTAGCACGATTTTTCCACTTCGAACATGAAGCCCTTCCTCTAAATACCAGAAACAAAAATAACAGCAGTGGGTGAACATTTTTCAAAAAAAACATTTATTTCCTATCCAGATATAGAAAAACATGAGACAGCTTATGACATTGAGACAACAATAGAAATGATTAGAAATAAAGACACAATAAGAAATAGAAGCTACAGGCAAAAATCAAGCACCATATTTAGTACTAAAAGCTAAAATAAGAGGGAAGTCTGTGGAGTTATAACATTTTTATTCTCAAAAAAATAAAACATCCATTCTTTAGACATCTAACGGGACCAAGATGTTCTGATTTGAAGAACTAATCACGATGATTCAATTGGCTTTTTTCTTATATTGATTAAAGGAGAAGGGCATCATGTTAAATCTTAAAGAGAGAAAAGAAGACTAACATTTGGTGAATACCTATTTGTGCATAACATTACATGAGGCATTTTTACATTGCTTAAGCACATCTTCCCCCCAAAATCTCTAAATGGATACCTCTACTGTAGCAATACTGAAAGTGTGCTGATGCCCCTCTTCCCCCTGCTAGACTGTAAACTCCTTGAATAGAGAGATGTCTTATTCATCCTTTCTTAAAATCTATGTATCTGTCAAATGGAATGTGATCTTTCCTATCATTTCTAAAGTAGCCATATTCCCACAAAATCACTGCTCATTCTGTTTTATTGTCTTCGTAGTTTCCATTACTTATCTGAGTTTATAGTGAATGACTTCTTTATTGCCTTTTTGTTTTCTGAATATTTTACTAACATACAAGCTATCAGGACATGGAATTTGGCAGCCTTGTTCAAAGATTTAACCTTATCCCTTAAGACCTTATCCCTTAAGTGTTAGTGTATGGTCAAAATTCATATTGGCCAATAAATGAATAAAACTTTGTACAGCTAACTGCAGCACAAAATATGATTCCTAACAGGTACTCTAAATTTGTTTGCTGAACCAGCCTGAATTTCTAAAATTCCCTTACTGGTGAGGAAACTGGGCTCGAGGAGATTAATTTTTTCAAGGTTACACATTTAACATTTGGAGAGGCTGGAATATGACCTCAGGTCTATACATACCCTATGCTCAACCAACACTGCCTCAGGGAAATGCAAGAATAGTGTGCAGCCATGTTGATTTCCGGTGATGCATCTCATTAGAGAGATAAATCTTAGACAATCTAGAGAGATGAATGGATAGTTAATTTCACATAAGCTTTGGCAATTGAAATCAATTCATGGGTGATTTCTTTGTCTTATTAAATTAAAAGAGATCCATAAGCTTTACCAATCAGATAAGGGTGATGCAGAATTATTACTCTGTTGTAAAAGGTGAAGAACTTAAAATGTACTTTCCTTTAAAAGGCCAGCCCACTTCTAGATGGAAGAGGGCAAAGAGGGTACCTTTCGGAAGGATCAAATTTTTCCTTAAAGGGAACTTTAAATCTACTCCAGCCCTTGAAAAAAAATACTTGTTACAACATGTGTCATTGCTTTATTAAATAACATGAAAAAGGCATTTAGTCTTGAAAAAATGTTAATGGCGTATATTAGTAATGGAAGTGAGTTGGCCAGAAATAAGTTTATATATGTCCTATGAAATGTTTAGTTTTCTGAAAAATGCTTTATCATGGTAGCTGATCAAGATGAGTGAGATACAAAATGCAGCCAAAGTAGCTGAATGAATTGGCCTGTTGAATTAGGTTTTTAGTATTGTTTACCTGAATAATAATGTTTACCAAATATAGATGGAAATAATTTTTACTAAGCTGCTACTTCTGACAATAATTAATAGCTACTGTCAGCTGCTTCTGAAAGTCTGCTCCTAGTTAAACATAATAAAAAACATACGTAGCAGAGAATGACTCATGATTTGCCCATGTAGTAGAAATAACATATGCCACAGAGTCCATCACACCCAGCTTCAAATTTTGATTATGCCACTTAATAGAGGAGAGAGACTGAGGATGTTACCCCTCTCATCTTAGTAAAGTTGTTTTGAAAGTGATATGGAGTAATATATGTGAAGTACTTTCCCAATCCAGTGCTTGCCCAAAGCAGTTGGAACTCAGTAAATCTTCTACAACCTAGATACACACTCTAAAATTGTGTCTTACATTTGACCGAAGCACTAGGAGAGAATTCAGATCTTCATTGTATCTGTTCAAGAAAATAAAATGCACTCTAATTCGTAACTAACTGCAATGTTTCCTAAATTCCTTCTTTTTTCCTCCAACATTTTTATGCCTTCACAGCTTCTCTGATGCCTCTCGCTTAGTGAGAGGATAAATAAGCCTCTCACTTATTTATCCCTTAAATAACAATTACAACTCATTTTTTTCTAAACCCAGTTTACATCATTAATGAATTAATTTTATTTATGGTTGGTGTCTACAGAATGCTAGAAGCAACTAGATAGTTACATACAGAGAATTTCATTATAATTCATTCACGCAAAATAAAAGTAAATTAGGGCATTCAGTCTTCAATCTAAAGCTGGGATGGCTCTAAGGTTAGGGGAATTCTATTTGAAGATTGGAGAATCAGCTTGTACAAAACTGCTAGACTGGAACACCCCTCCAACCTGCCCAATGCTTCCCAGTGTCTTGGCCCTGAGCTCCATCATTCAAACTTGGTTTTGGTGTATGACTAAGGTAGGCACAGAAAGAATTGGAGAGATTTCTTTAGGTTACAAAAATGTCCAGCATTGCTTAATAAATCTTGACTACAATTTGTTTCTTCAACTTTTATATAGAACAAGACTTGTTCTTTAAGCTGTGTTCTAAGCCTGCCAATGAAAGGCTTATAGTGAACACAGACATGGAGTACTTTTACCTCTTTATTGATTTGCAGCTATAAATGCCCATTTCTATCCACTTTGCTATACACTTGGTTCTAAATGAAGTCTTCCAAGGAAATCAAGTCACAATCACTTTAGGTTGGAAATCCTTCTAATAGACTTTCACTTAAGCCCATGCTTTCTCAACATTCAGGGCCTAACATGATTTCAACATGTGGATTCCATGAACTACCCAGAAATTTAAGTCTCTGCTCCTATTCCAGGCACAATATTGCCTAAAATTCTTTGGTTTCTGGCAGAGCGAAGCCACTGTGAGTGGTTCCAAAGCTTGCTTAATTGCAAGCCACAAGAGGGCAGCCATGTCCCAGGGCTTCCATTTCTGTGGCTGTATGGGGCAGCATCCCTAAACCAATTTGAGTAGCTCCAACACTGACATCTCTCTATCCAAACTAGATGTCCATAGAGGTTGAGGTTAAAATTAGTTTTGATTTTACAACTTTACAACTGAATTTTGAAAATTATACATAACATTACATAAATCTGGTTTTCTTCCCCCAAATTCCAACATCAGTGTTGAGATTTATGTGTCTCTCTAAGTTGAAGTTGTATTCTCAGAACCATAACTTTCATGTTTGGACAATAGGCACCTATTTCCCACAAAATCCTAATAGTGACATGAGAATTTATCTGGATCAAATCTAGAAAGTTACCCTTTAATCTGAGGTGTGGTTAAGCATATTACCAAAGAGTTACAAATCTATAAAGAACCCCCAAAATGTAAAAGCTGGGACCCAACAAGACATCGCCTTTAAAAGTGTTGTATTCAAGTGGCCAACTAACAAATGAAAAAATGCTCAACATCACTAATAATCAGGGAAATGCAAATTAAAGATGAGATCATCTTACACCAGTCAGAATGGCTATTATTAGAAAGTTAAAAAGCAACAGATGTTGGCGTGAATGTGGAGAAAGGGGAACACTTACACACTGCTGGTGGGAAGGTAAATTAGTTCAACCTCTATGGAAAACAGTATGGAAAGTTTTCAAACGGCTAACATAGAACCAGCAATCCCACTACTGGGTATCTATACAAAGGAAAAGGTATCATTATATAAAAAAGACACCTGCATGTATACGTTCATCGCAGCCCTACTCACAATAGCAAAGTCATGGAACCAACCTAAGTGTCCATCAGCAGTTAAACCAGATAAAGAAAATTTGGTGTATATCCACTGTGGAATACTATGCAGCCATTAAAAGAATGAAATCATGTCCTTTGCAGCAACATGGATAGAGCTGGAGGCCATTTTTCTTTTTTTGAGATGTAGTCTGGCTCTGTTGCCCAGGCTGGAGTGATTGGCGTGATCTCAGCTCACTGCAACCTCCGCCTCCTGGGTTCAAGCAATCCTAGTAGCCAGGATTACAGGTGCCTGCCACCATGCCTGGCTAATTTTTGTGGCTTTTAGTAGAGATGGGGTTTCTTCATGTTGGCCAGGCTGGTCTCAAACTCCTGATCTCAGGTGATCTGCCCATCTTGGCCTCCGAAAGTGCTGGGATTACAGGCGTGAGCCACCACGCCGGGCCTAGAGGCCATTATTTTAAGTGACCTAACTCAGAAACAGAAAATAAAATACTGTATATTCTCACTTACAGGTGGGAGCTACACAATGGGTGCACATGAACATAAAGATGGAACTCACAGACGCTGGGGACTCCAAACTAACTAACTCCTATGGCCATTTAAGTTTGAAGTTTCTTGTCTTAAACTATTCAACTCCCAAGTTGATCATTATTTTATTCTTCCTGCAGTTTCCCTATACTTCCACTTCTCTCAGTATCTTTAGCTAAAGGCCAGGAATTTGTCATTACTTTCGCATAAAAGAGAGCTCTGTTTCTCCTCAGCCTATGATCGATTCAAAGCATGCCTCTTTTCCTGCTCCCCCTCCATACAATGTCATCGGTCTCATTACACACACACACACACACACGCATGCACACTCACAGTCATGCACACACACATGCATTACACACACGCACTGGGCAGCTCTGCTGCATTTTCATGGTGCCCTCCTTCTTCTCTTTTGTCATCTATCCTTTGTTTCCTTCCTTTTCCTTGGGTTAGTCAGTGGTTTCTCTAGCTTTGTTTTCTTCATTGATTTTTTTGCAAAATAGATGGGAGCTCGAAGGTTTACTATGAAAGGCTAGGTTATAAATCAGTGATTTCCAAACCCAAGTCATTATTAGACTTCCAGTGAAATGTTAAAGAATACATATTGGCAGGTCTGCTCGCATAGAGTAGTAGGTCTTGTATGAAGTCAAGATACCTGTGATTTTGGAAAAAAAAAAAGACATCATACATAATTCAGATAGCTACACCCTGTGACTTTTAGCCTTAAATCCTCAGTATTTAGGACTAGCAGCTGTTAATATGTATATTGATTATCTATATTAATTAATTGATATTGTAGCCAACAGACTAATAATTGGAGATGCTTACCCCATATGGTTGTACAAAGCTGCTAGACTGACATAGGGTTGTACAAATCCCTATGTGGTTGAGCAGAAAGCTAAACATTCCTTAAGGAAGCATTTCCTTATTACAAAAGATTTTGGGGAAATCTGAATTCATCAGAAATAAACAAATTTGGCTGGGTGTGGTGGCTCATGCCTGGGATCCCAGCACTTTGGTAGGCTGAGGTGGGTGGTCAGCCTCCTGACCTTAGCCTCACCTGAGGTCAGGAGTTTGAGACTAGCCTGACCAACATGGTAAAACCCTGTCTCTATTAAAAATACAAAAATTGGCTGGGCATTGTGGCATGCACCTGTAATATCAGCTACTCAGAAGGCTGAGGCAGGCGAATCAATTAAACCTGGGAGGTGGAGGTTGCAGTGAGCTGAGATTGTGTCACTGTACTCCAGCCTGCCTGAGTGACAGAGCGAGACTCCATCTAAAAAAAAAATAAAAAAAAAATAAAAAATAAATAAATAAATTTATTTAAGGTAGGACTTAGATCTTTTAATTGCTATTTTGCTATTGTGAAAAATGAATCTCTAAGACATATACACAACATCAAGTTTAGTTGCCTGTGCATCTGTCCATGTTAAGTTACTTCTTATTTATTTATTTTTAGGAAACAACTTGTTGCAATAGTGTTACATAGAATGTAGTTTGGAGAAATGACTGGCTCAGATGCTGACAGAGGGGTGTAGTGCTACATGTCTGCATGGGAATATTTGGACCAAATCTTTCCAACTCTGGCTGCATGCTATAATTAGCTGGGGAACTCTTGTAACTCACTGGACACTAATTTAATCAAAACCTCTAGGGGTAAGAGCAGATATTATAATTTTAAAAAAAGCTAACCCAGATGATTCCAAAAAAGCTAACCCAGATGAGATTGAGAGTCATTGTTTCAAGACTACAAGGAAAATGTTAAATGTATTCTAAATTATTGGCTATCAATAATAGCTAACATTTATTGTTATTTTCATGCTAAGCATCTTCCTCATATATTCTCTAACTAAATCCTTATGGTTATTTTATGGAGAAGGTACTGTTATTATTCCCTACCTTAGTCTGTTTGTGTTGCTATAACCAAATACCTAAGACTGGGTAATGTGTAATAATAGATATTTATTTCTAATGGTTCTGGAGGCTGGAAAGTCCAAGATCAAACTGCCAGTAGATTTGGCATCTCTTTCATAGATGGTGCCTTGTTGCTGTGTCCTTACCTGGAAGCAGTAATGTAAGGACAAAAGAGACACTAGTGTTGCGTTCAGTCTCTTTTATGAGGGTACTAATCCCATTTTTGAGGGCTCTGCCCTCATGACTTCGTCACCCCCTAAAGCCCCACCTCTTAACACTATCACATTGGTGATCAATTTCAACATAAATATTGGAGGGACATATGCATTTAAACTGCAGCATTCCCATTTATAGATGATAAAACTAGGGCATTAGAGAGAAAAAATACGTCATTGAAGGACATACTTTTATGTTAGGGGGTTCATATCTAGGCACATTAATGCCAGGACTTGAGCATTTAACCATTATACTACCCTGTTTTCCTGAACTCTTCATTTTGACAGATGTTCTACATGCTTAAAAGTGACATATTATCTACATTTACTATTGTAAAATGCTAGTAAGAAATTTAACTCTAGTGTTAAGTTCTACCCATAAAATAAAATGCTTTAATACTTTGACCAACGTTAAGATATTTTTGTATTTTTTAATCTACTCAATCAGAGACTTCTGTTAATAGTTTTACACATAGAACATAACTAAAGTTATCTCTACCCCCCTCTCTCATTTTTCAAAGTGAAATAGGGAATTGATTTAGGCCAAATCTTCCTGCCAGTAAAAAGACATGAATGTTGATTCAGGTAGTCAGATAACTCACCCTTCTTTGTCTTGGGTGGTAAAAATGTCATTGAATTCAAAATCAAACCTCTTTAATCTAATTATCATTTTCTTATTATAGCAAAACCTTATTTGAATGAACCCCAAATAATGGAACTTATAAATTATTATGGAAACCATTCTATTTCTCCCTCATTGAGAAGCAAGGGAAGAGCAAGCAATTTGAAATCTGAGGCCTTCAAAAGGTACATCACTATTGTTCCATCCTCTGAAATTCTATTCTACTAATTATCTGCATATTTAAATAATGTTAGTTTTCTCTTGGAATCCTTTAGAAATCAACACAGAGCTGGCTGATATGACCTCAGAATTAGAAAGACAGATAATCTTCCATTTGGAATTTAGGACATGCAAAATTGTATTGTTATTTATTCTTCCTTCTCTTTTAAACATCCATACTGTTGCTGCAATTAGATATTAAGTCTCTAGGGTCTGAACATTCTTTCTGTTTTGATTCTCAGCTCCTAGCAATAAATGACGGATTTCTTCTAGCAAATAAAGGTAGCTGGGTGATGATGGGAACAGAACAGAACCAACCTCCTGTGCAAATGGCTTTTATACAAGTCGTAACTTATAAACAAATTAATATTCCTCAGACATTTAAAGATAATGAATCAATAAAAATCATTAAATTATTGTTGATATATGTTTCAATGCTATTCTTAATATTTATTATAAAGTATTTATATTTTATACATTTGTTTATATATTTATTTTATTTCATTTATATTTATATAAAACATAATATGCATTTAATTTGGCCTGTTATAGTTTCATAGAAAATCTTGCTATTCAAGGTAAAATAATAATTCTTACATTCCTTTAGTGCTTTTTATTATTCAACACCCGATTTTGCTGTTTCTTTGGATTTTCAGAATCTCTGGACTGAAAGCAAAGTAGATCTTTATTTCCATGGGTCTCTTTGCTTGGACCAAAATTTGCCCCAAAAATGAAGAAAGCAAATGGTGCTCATTCTAACAACCAGTTGTGATTTTACATAAAAACGAGTTTTCATTTGGGATGATTTAAAAACAGTCTTTCTGGTTTGAAAGAAAAAAAAGATTATTCTCAAAATATATGTAGCAAAAAATAAATGACTATGTAAGAGGTGAGCATGGGTATCATCACTGTTGAATTGTGAGGTAGCCTTTGGAGGGCCCTGGTACAAGCTCCCAGTGGTGCCTGGCTCTATCAGTGGTGGACATTACAGATGAATGCCCTGGGCTCCTGGGTTTTGAAGACTAAGGATTGGAATGTTCTGTGAATTATCTGAAAACTTTTACCAAATACCAAACATGGTTTCTAAAATTGGCCTTTAAATATGTTCTTGTAAAGGAATTTCACACCTGGTATCAACAAGTACCAATAACCATTTAATGTAACTTTATACCTTAAAAGCGCCCAATCTTATTGTGCAACAGATAATTTCTATATTTAAGTACTTATCTTCTTTTCCTTCAGCATAGAATTTCTCTTAATTTTGTCCTCTTTCTGGACAAACTTCACATCTAACCCCTGCTCAGTAACTTCACCTCTTTAATTTCACAACTTGTAAAATGGGTAGATGAATAAGACTTGATTCATAAATATTGTATTAGTTACATAAGATGAAACATGTCAAGTAATTAATAGATTAATTTTCACATTCTGGGATCTCAAATAATTGCAGGTATTATTAATAATAATTAAAATATATTTCAAAAGGGCTTTCTTCATATAGCTATTTATAAAGTCACATAAAGATAAGTTATCATTTGGGGTAGGTTTGAAACAATTTTCAGTATACTTGAAAACATCTTCCAACTACATATTTAAAGGATTTTTCAGATAATATAAAGAAAAGTTTATTTCAGATAATGCAGAGAAACAACTTTTATGCAAAATAATTTGCCTGATCTTTACATAAACCTTCCAAATTGCTATTACCGACCCCTTTTTACAAATGTGAATCTGAGCCTCCATAGGATCATCTGTAACCTGCCCAGCAAAATTGTACTGTTAAAAGTTAGCTGAGCTGGAACTCAAACTCAGGCTTTGACTCCCAGTCCAGTGCTCTTTCCACTCCGTCACAGTTTAATATCCAAGACCTTTTGTAACTTTGGCCACTCCTGCTTGTTAAGCACAACATTAAAGCTTTGCATACCATACTGTTTATTTTATTACCTTCTGTTTTTCAATAAGTAACAAACTATAGTGATCTTGGGGCTATCAATCTTTACTGGCTAAGAGTTATATTGGTAATTTGAAACCCAATTCTCTCTCACTCTTGAGATTCCTCTTACATTATGCCATCTGCCTTGAAGAGGGACATCATTAGATACAATGGTGGAAGCTCCTCGCTATGTCTCCTGTAATGATGGGAACTTGCTGTTCATTTTAAAATAAAGATTCCCCTCTCTTCCTCTCAGATTGCAAATCAAAATTTGACGGACTTCTGCACTAGTGCTTCATTTTTTCCTGGTGGATACTGTCAACCACATCATTAAATATGATTTCCCTTGATGTTACAAGCTTAGAGAACATTTTGAGTTCACCTCTAACAAGTGGACTCCACGTCATGAATCTGTGTCTTGCCCTTATTTCTGGCATCTCCTTCCTTTCCTGCTTTATGTTCTTTTTCTCTCATTTTTCCTGTAAGTTTGAAATTATTTTTATTTTGCTACACCATATGCACATTTGTAAATACCTAAATTCTTTCTGGAACAAATCAATCATGCAACTCCAGCTTTTGTATGTAGTTAATCATTTGATTCCTGGATACCTGGCTGTTCCAAAAAAAAAAAAAATCTAGAGATACCATACATTTTATCTTGCTTTTCTTCAGCTAGCCAATTTATGGTATAACATTGTTAGGATCCGTAAGAGGTTTAGGACTGCTTCTGAGCAGTGACTATGACATAAAAAGATTAGCTATCCCTGCAGAAAGTTGTAAACAGTTTTCTCTATGTGAGAATTATTAGATCACAGAAGATTTTGCTGAGAAAATTGTAGGAAAAAAATACAACCTTTCTTATTAGTCATTTTTTTAAATAGACAAGGCATTAAAAACTATACCATGGAAGAGAATGCTCAGCTGAAGACTGGATTGACTGGAAGCCCCAAGACTCTAAGTGAAATCTCTCATTCATAAATCAAATGATTGGATAAAGATTCTGCTTAGAAAAAAATTTTCATTCCTTTACATAATACTTTAGTCTCTTACAAAACATTTATTTAAAATATTTCAAATAGTGCCATCCAACTGCCTTCCCTTTCCACTGACCTCCTACCCAGCACCTTTAAATTGGGCAGCAGGAGATGTTGTACTGAACATATTATCTCTATAATTTCTCAGGCCCCTCAGCTGGAGTTCAGGATCAATTCTCACACTTTAATCCTATCTGCCAAAGAATTTTTAAACTACATAACTGACAAATAACCTCAGCTGTAATTTATGGATCTTTCCTCCATGGGAAATAGATAGTTATATCTGGTTTTTCATAAAAATTGCCTTATAACACTGTAAAAGCTGAGAGATCTTATTAGGACCACTGACTACACACACACACACACACACACACACACACACACACACACACACACACAACAGAGCAACAGCAAAACAGCAGCCACATTTTGTGTCTTTAATGAAGGATACATTCTGTATGTAGCCCCATTAGATTTCTCATTCTCAGTCTAATGTTATTATATTCCTTTTTTAAAATGTTTAAATTTCATTGATACTCTTCCAATTCCCTCTCCCAAAAGGGTATTCTGGTCACATCATTATCTGCCTTCCTAATTAGAATATTATTACTTTAGGAAAAGCATGATATGTAATGTATTTAGATGGTGGTGTTTATTGAGTTGCATATGTATTTATGTGAAAGATAGCAATTTTAAAAAATCTCATGTATATATCAAGACTCCATAATGCTTCCTTATGTATCCAATTGCTTATCTGTCATCCACATCCAGGCTTTTTAAGAGGTCAGTATGTATAAAACTATATCATTATCCCTCCTTATACGTAGTCCTCTTTCCATATTCATATTTCAGTGAATGCCATGACCATCTTGTTTTTCCTCAATGAGCATTTTAATACGCTATCTCCTAAATAGCCCCTAAGTCTATCTGCTCCCCTTCTCCCCCAGTGTTATTGTAACCACTCCCCTGAATTAACATCATAGGCTCCGAACCCAATTCTTCTCCTGGATTTTGTGGTCTTATGCTATTTCCACTCATTCTCCAAATGTAACCGGAAAGACCATCCCAAAATGTAATACAAACCTTTTTAAATGCCCATTTAAAACCCTTTGGGGTGGTTGTTGGTCTACTTTATTTTTTATTCTTTTAGAAGAAATTTAAACTATTTAACATGGCTAAGATTTCTTCCAGGTTTGCTTCCTTCTTTAGCCTCACCATTCCCCTTCTGAATAATCCATTGCTTTAGTTGTAGGAAGCTGTCTTTATTTTTACAATGGATTTTGTATTTCTATTGACTCATTGTCCTTCCTTTTTAGATAAGAAATCTTGCCCAGTGACCCTTTCCTCTACCAGAACTCACTTAGGTATCCCTGCTGCTAGATACTTGGATATGATTTCCCCACTTTTACTACTTGTCCACTGTATTTTAATTGTTTACGTTATGTCTGTATCTCCCCACCAGATTGTAAGCAATCTGTGTCCTGTTCATCTTCTAATATACACCACCAACACCCAACATTACTCAGTTCATACATTTTCAGTGCATTTTTTCTCTTGTTCTCCAGCTTTCTTTTCATATCCCCTTAGTAGCAACTTATGTTACAGCCTCATTGTTTAAATTATGCTAGAAAATACTCATATTAAAGATTCAATTACATATAAAAATAAAAATATACTAAATGACTACTAAATTCTGTCAAACACTTAAAGATACTTACTATGGGGACATCAAAATAAGACTTAATTTGCTAAAATATTTTTTATGTTACTGAAAACAAGATGTTTCAAACCTTAGCATATTTCTAGGTTGTATCACTCCTTTTATTTTATCTTTTTCTCATAGGCAATATTTTTTTTCCTATTGAACATATGATATAGCTATTATTATCTTGATTTATATGCTGGAAATAATGAAGTTGGAAAAAGGGTTTAAGAAGTAATTCTTATGCCCCTTGATAAGGCTGGACTTAAAACTTCTGAATGATAAACCTGTTTAATTTCAAAACAACCTGAGAATGTATGCTTCAGGAACAATGTAGCATGGGCTTCAATTATAACCAATTTTATATAAAGATAGAATGCAATTTGTTCAAAAATTGTATTTTGACAATGGGTAATACTGCTTGACATTACAAAATACTGCAAAACATTTTATAGTGGACTTATAAGTAACTTAAATACTGAAATATTTATGTATACATTCAGATAGCAAAAATAAAATATTGGTCATATTTTCCCATTTGGAAAACTTTAGTGTTTCTTTGAGCAACATGATAAAAATCTAAGTTTAACAAATAGAGTAAGTTTGTAGTTCATTCCCAGCTCTGTGACCCCTTGCTTGTCTTTTCCTGTTTAGTTTTTAGCTTACTTGGTTACATAACCATTGCTTTTACTTAAAGGTCAGCCAAGAGTAAAGTTATATCTTGCTGGAGGTGAGATGTAAACAATGTCTGATCTTGCCCTGCCATTTTTCTTAAATCTTCCACAGAGCTGGGTGAAAATGTGCCAGTATTCATAAAAGAAGATTATGTTTTAGAATCTGTATTGTATTATTCAATAAATATTTCAAGGTGTCTGCAAACAGGGATTAATGGGTATTATATTTCAGGAAACCAGAAAAGTATCAACCCAAAGAATTAAATAAAACACTCATGTTTGATGCTCATATAAACTGTAACTTAAAATAAAATGTGTGTAAACTTCCCTTTCCTTTTGTTTCATTTTCTTGTCATAAAATAACACAGAATAAAATGAAATGAGACGAAAATGAAAAGATATTTTAAAAATCTAAAATTGACCTTCACACTGAAAAGCAATGCCTTTCTTCAGTCATCAGTGCTAATAGTCAGCAATGGTGTCTGTGTGCAATTAAAACATCTGGATGAAAAATACATGCGTTAACATCTCAGCGTTATCTTTCACTAACACTGCACTGTACACTAGTGCAACTGGAGGCATCTGGACATGAGGAGACAGTACTATAAAATATTTCAACACAAATTTTGGGTGTAGTAGGTATTCAAACATCCAATTTTATTAAAATGACTGAATTCTATGGAATTATTGGCTTTTAAAAAACGTATTCTATTTATGTCATTATTAGAAAAGCGTTTGTACATTATGAGTTGGATCTTCATCAATACTTGTACTTGAGAGACTCATTAGTGATCTTAAATGAGTTTCATTTTTTACTTTTTTAATTTTTTGTGGGTTCATAGGTGTATATATTTATGGGGTACATGAGATATTCTGGTACAGGTATGCAATGCAAAAATGGAAAATTGCATCATGGAAAATTGGGTATCCATTCCCTCAAGCATTTATCCTTTGTTTTACAAACAATCCAATTATACTCTTTCAGTTATTTTAAAATGCACAATTAAATTATTATTGAATATAGTTTCCCTGTTGTCCTATCAAATACTAGGTCTTATTCATTCTACCTATTTTTTTGTACTCACTAACCATTCCCACTCCCTCACCCTGCTTCCCCCACTACCTTTCCCAGTCTTTGGTAACCATCCTTCTATTCTCTATTTCCATGAGTTCAATTGTTTTGATTTTCAGATCCCATATATAAGTGAAAACATGCCAAGTTTGTCTTTCAGTGCCTGGATTATTTCACTTAACATAACGACCTCCAGTTACATCCATGTTGTTGCAAATGACAGAATCCATTCTTTTTTAGAATGAGATTCTGGATAGTACTCCATTGTGTATAAGTACCACATTTTATTTATCTATTCATCTGCTGATGGACACTTAGGTTGCTTCCAAATCTTGGCTATTGTGATCAGTGCTGCAACAAACATGGGAGAGCAGATATCTCTTCGATATACTGATTTTTTGGGGGGTATACACCCAACACTGGGATTGCTGGATCATATGGTAGCTTTATTTTTAGTTTTCTGAGGAACCTACAAACTGTTTTCCATAGTGGTTGTACTAATTTACATTCACACCAACAGTGTACAAGAAATCATTTTTCTCTAAATCCTCACCACCATTTGTTATTGCCTGTCTTTAGGATAAAGTTATTTTGATTAGGGTGAGATGACATTTCATTGCAGTTTTGATTTGCATTTCTCTGATGATCATTCATGGTGAGTACCTTTCCATATGCCTATTTGCCATTTGTATGTCTTTCTTTGAGGAATGTCTATTCAAATCTTTTTCCCATATTTAAATCAGATTATTAGATTTTTTTCTATAGAGTTGTTTGAGCTGGTTATTTTCTGGTTATTAACCTTTTGTCACATGGGTAGTTCGCAAATATTTTCTTCCATTCTATGGGTTGTCTCTTCACTTTGTTGATTGTTTCCTCCACTGTGCAGAAGCTTTTCAAATTGATATCATTTCATTTGTCCATTTTCCTTTGGTTGCATGTGCTAATGGGGTATTACTCAAGAAATTTTTGCCCAGACCAATGTCCTGGAGAGTTCCTTCAATGTTTTCTTGAAGTAGTTTCATAGTTTGAGATCATAGATTAAGTATCTAACTCATTTTGATTTGATTTTTGTATAAGGTGAGAGATAAAGGTCAAGTTTCCTTCTTCTGCACATGCCTATTAAGTTTTCCCAGCCCCATTTGTTGAAAAGACTGTCTTTTCTGTAGTGTATGTTCTTGTCATCTTTGTCAAAAATAAATTCACTGTAGGTGTATGGATTTGTTTTTGGGTTGTGTTCTGTTCCATTGGTCTATGTGTCTGTTTTTATGCCAGTACCATGCTGTTTGTGTTACAATAGCTTTGTAGTACAATTTGCAGTCAGGTAACGTGATTCCTCCAGTTTTGTTCTTTTTGCTTAGAATAGCTTTGGCTCTTTTAGG
The DNA here is from genome assembly GCF_000001405.40 of Homo sapiens. NCBI lineage: Eukaryota > Metazoa > Chordata > Mammalia > Primates > Hominidae > Homo > Homo sapiens. The sequence goes on from NC_000007.14 coordinate 114,877,843, forward strand.
TCTTATGTGATCCATATAAATTTTAGGATTGCTTTCTTCTCTTTCTGTGAAGAATGTCATTGGTATTTTGATAGAGATTGCATCAAATCTGTAGATTGAGTAGTATGGACATTTTAACAATATTGATTCTTCCAATCTATAAACAAGAAATATCTTCCATTTTATTGTGTTCTCTTCAAATTCTTTCATCAGTGTTTTATAGTTTTCATTGTGAATATCTTTCACTTCTTCAGTTAATTCCTAGGTATTTAATTTAATTTGTGGCTATTGTAAATGGGATTACTTTTCTGATTTGTTTTTCAGCGTTCACTGTTGGCATACGGAAATGCTACTGATTTTCATTAGGTGATTTTGTATTCTGCAACTTTACTAATGTTGTTTATCAGTTTTAATAACTTTTTAGTGGAGTCTTTAGGTTTCTCCAAATATAAGATCATATCATCTGCAAACAAGGATAATTTAACTTCTTCCTTTTCAATTTGGATGCCCTTTATTTCTTCTCTTGTCTGATTGCTCTAGCTAAGACTTCCAGTACTATGTTGAATAACAGTGGTGACAGTGGGTATCCTTGCTATGTTCCCAATCTTAGAGGAAAGGCTTTCAGTTTTTCCCCATTCACTATGATACTAGAGGTGGGTCTGTCATATATGGCTTTCATTTTGTTGATGTATGTTCCTTCTATACCCATTTTTTTTAGGATGTTTATCATGAAGGGATGGTGACCTTTATCAAATGTGTTTCCAGCATCAATTGAAATAATCATATAGTTTTTGTACTTAATTCTGTTGATATGATGTATCACATTGATTGATTTGCATATGATGAACCGTCCTTGCATCCCTGGAATAAATCTAAGTTGGTTACGATGAAAGATCTTTTTAATGTATTGTTGAATTTCGTTTGCTAGTATTTTATTGAGGATTTTTGCATCAATATTCATCAGAGATATTGGCCTGTAGTTTTATTTTTTGATGTGCCTTTGTATGGTTTTGATATCAGGGTAACACTGGCCTTGTAGAATGAGTTTGGAAGTATTCCCTCACCCTCTATTTTTCAGAACAGTTGAGTATGATTAGTAATAGTTCTTTAAATGTTTGGTAGAATTCAGCAGTGAATCCATTGGGTCCCAGGCTTTTCTCTACTAGTCAACTTTTTATTACAGCTTCAATCTCATTAATTGTTACTGGTCTGTTGAGGTTTTGTATTTCTTCAAGGTTTAGTCTTGGTAGGTTTTATATGTCTAGGAATTTATCCATTTAAAAAAATTTTCCAGTTTATTGGCATATAGTTGCTCATAGTTGCCACTAATGATCCTTTGAATTTCTGCAGTATCAGTTGTAATGTCTCCTTTTTTATCTCTGATTTTAATTATTTGGGTCTTCTCTCCTTTTTTCTTAGTCTAGATAAAGGTGTGTCAATTTTGTTTATCTTTTAAAAAAACCAACTTTTTGTTTCGTTGATCTTTTGTATTGTTTTCTTCATTTCAAATTCATTTATTTCTGCTTTGATCTTTATTGTTTATTTTCTCCTACTAATTTTCAGTTTGGTTTGCTCTTGCTTTCCTATTTCTTTAAGATGCATCATTAGATTATTTATTAGAAGCTTTTCTTCTTTTTTGATGTAAGCACTTACAGCTATACATTTCCCTCTTAGTACTGTTTTCCCTGTATCCAACAGGTTTTCATATATTGTGTTCTCATTATCATTTTTTTCAAGAAATTTTTCAATGTCCTTCTTTATTTTTTCCTTGACCCATTAGTCACTCAGGAACATATTGTTTAATTTCCATGTGTTTTTATGGTTTCCAAAATTCTTCTTGTTATGGACTTGCAGTTTTAGTCTATTGTGGTCAGAAAAGATGTTTGGTATTATTTCAACTATTTTGAATATTTTAAGACTCATTTGGTGACCTAACATATGCTTTATTCTTGAGAATGAACCATGTGCTGAGGAGAAAAATGCATATTCTGCAGTCATTGGACGAGATGTTCTATAAACATCTATTAAGTCCATCTGTTCTTTAGTACAGATTAAGTCTAATGTTTCTTTGTTGATTTTCTGTCTGAGAGATCTGTCCAATGCTGAAAGTGGGGTGTTGAAGTATCCAGCTATTATTGTATTGGTGTCTATCTCCCTGTTTAGGAGAGATAACATTTGCTTTATATATCTGGGTGTGCCAGTGTTGAGTGCATATATATTTAAAATTGCTATATCTTCTTGCTGAATTGACCCCGTTATCATTATATAATGACATTCTTTGTCTCTTTTTTTAGTTTTTGTCTTAAAATCTATTTTGTCTCATGTAAGTATAGCTACTACTGCTCTGTTTTGGTTTCCATTTACAGGGAATATTTTCTTCCAACTCATTATTTTCAGTCTATATGTATCTTTATAGGTGAAGTGTGTTTCTTGTAGGCAACAGATCACTGGGTCTTGTTTTTTATTGTATTCGTTCAACCACTCCATGTCTTTTAATTGGAGAGTTTAGTCCATTTACATTCAATGTTATTTTTGATAAGTAGTGACTTACTTCTGTCATTTTGTTATTTGTTTTCTGGTGGTTTTGCAGTCTTCTCTTCCTTCTTTCCTGTCCTCCTTTTAGTGAAGGTGATTTTCTCTGGTAGTAGGCTTTAATTTCTTGCTTTATTTTTCAATTTGAGGTCACCATGAGGCTTGCAAATACTATCTTATAATCCATTATTTTAAACTGGTAACACCGATTGCATAAACAAAGATGCAAAAAGAAAACTAATATAAACTCTACACTTTAACTCAGCCCCCACCCCACTTTTTAACTTTTTTCATCTCTCTTGATGTCTTATTGTACTATGTCATGAAAAGTTGTTGTAGTTGTTATTTTTGATTGGTTCATCATTTAGCCTTTGAACTTAAGTCAAGAGAAGTTTCCACACCACAATTACATTGTTATACTATTCTGTGTTTTTCTGTGTGCTTACTATTACCAGTGAGTTTTATAGCTTTAGATTATTTCTTCTTGTTCACTAAGATCCTTTTCTTTCAGACTGAAGAACTCCCTTTAGCATTTCTTGCAGGACAGCTCTGGTGTTGATAAAATCCCTCAGCTTTTGTTTATCTGGGAAGTTCTTTATTTCTTCTTCATGCTTAATGGATTTCTCTAGATAAACTATTCTAGGGTAAAAGGTTTTTTTTTTGTTTTTTTTGTTTTTGTTTTGTTTTGTTTTGTTTTTTTATCCTGGCACTTTAAATATGTCTTATCATTCTCTCCTGGCCTGTAAAGTTTCCACTGACAAGTGTGCTGCCAGACATACTGGTGCTCCATTGTATGTTACTTGTTTCTTTTCTCTTGCTGCTTTTAGCATCCTTTCTTCATCCTTGATCTTTGGGAGTTTGATTAATAAATGCCTTGATGTAGTCTTCTTTGGGTTAAATCTACTTGCTGTTCTATAACCTTCTTGTACTTGAATGTTGATGTCTTTCTCTAGGTTTGGGAAGTTATTTCTTATTAGCCGTTTGAATATACTTTCCACTCTTATCTCTTTCTCTACTTCTCTTTTAAATCCAATAACTTTTCTATTTACCCTTTTAGTCTATTTTTGAGATCTTGAGGTGTGCTTCTTTTTTTAATTCCTTTTTATTTTGTCTCCTCTGACTGTGTATTTTCAAATAGCCTCTCTTCAAGTTCACTAATTCTTTCTTCTCTGAGTGGTTCTGCTATTAAGAGACTCCAACTCATTGTTTAGTACAGCAGTTGCATTTTTCAACTCTGTAATTTCTGCTTGATTCTCTTGAGTTAATTCAATCTCTTTGTTAAATTTATCTGACAGAATTCTGAATTCCTTCTCTGTATTATCTTGGATTTTTTTGAGTTTCCTCAAAACAGCTGTTTTGAATTCTCTGTCTGAAATGTCGCATATCTGTTTGTCCAGGATTGGTCCTTGGTGCCTTATTTAGTTCATTTGGTGAGGTTACGTTTTCCTGGATGTTGCTGATGCTTATAGATGTTTTTCAGTATCTGGGCATTTAAGAGTTAGGTATTTATTGTAGTCTTCACAGTTTGGGCTTGTCTGTGCCTGTCCTTTTCAGGAAGGCTTTCCACATAGACAAACCCAGGCCTAATAATGCTGTGGTTTTTGCAGACTCGAAGAGGTACTGCTTTGGTGGTCTTGGATAAGGTCTGGAAGAAGTGTCTGGATTGCTAGGCAAAGACTCTTATTCTTTTCTCCTACTTTTTCCCAAACATGGAGTCTCTTTCTCTGTGATGAGCCACCTGGAACTGAGGGTGTGGTGATGCAAGCACCCCTGTGGCCATCACCACTGGTATTGCTCTGGGTCAGACCTGAAGCAGTACAGTACTGGGCCCTGCCCAAGGCCCTTTCCTTCATAGTGGCGAGTTCCCCCAGTCCTGAGTCTGCCCAGAGATACTGTCTGAGAGCCAGGAATTGGAGTCAAAAACTTTAGCAATTTACCTGATGTTCTATTCTACTGCAGCTAAGCTGGCACTCAAACCATAATGCAAAGTCCTTGCCACTCTTTCCTCCCCTTTCCATGGTCAGAAGAGTCTCTCCCTGTGGCCACCACCACCGCCATTACTCCACAAGGGGTTCTGCCAAGCCACTGTCAATGTTTGCTTAAAGCTCAAGGGCTCTTCCATCAGCTTGGGTTGAATGCTGCCAGGCCTGGGCCTCACTCTTCAGGGCAGTGGGCTCCACCCTGGCCCAGGTCAGGCCCTGAAATACTGTCTGAGATCCCAGGCTTGGATTCAGGGACCTCAAGATCCTGCTTATAGCTCTACCTCACTGTGGCCTAGCTAGTACATGATTTATGCTTTTGGTGATGGTGCTTTTCTGTGTATAGACAGCAGTTAAAATTTGGTGTTGCAGTGGTGGGGGTGGGGGTAGGTTGTGGGTGGTGGGGAAGGAGGCGAACAGTGCTCTGCCCTGGGTTTCTTATTTGTTGTATGGGAGGTGGAGTTGGAAGGCCTTGGTATTTAAAGCTCTCTTGGAGTTGTCACTATGTTACAACTGCATGTTTCTGAACTATACTTAACCCTAACACTGGGCCCCAAATGGGCCTAATCAAACCTAACACAGGTGGTAACGCAGCATGGCATCATGTCACCATTTTCTTTGGCTTCTTGGATCTTCAGCACTACTTTTGTGTTTGATCTCAGGTGCATGTTCCATGAGAGCAGGTACTTGGTCTCACTCACCATTGACTCTCTAGTATTTTCCATCACATTTGGCCCAGAGTAAATGCTCAACAATTATTTATTAAATAAATGAATGAATTCAGGAGCTTCTCTTAACCTTAAAAATTAGCTTTTAGAATTTATGGCACAGCTTTTTTTGGTGCAATTTAAAAAGCCTCCTCAGATGTATACAGCTTTGGAACATATCAATCTATTTATTTTTTGAAAACAAGTTTTACTAAGACATATTCCTTTATTTAGTTTTTTTTAATTTTTATTTTTTGTTAGTCAACAATCTTCACTATGTGTAGAACATTATACTGGAAACTTGGGAAGTTACAAAATATATAGAATATATATCCTATAATGAGATTTGGAACCCTTTGTTCATCTCCATATTCCTTGGAGGAAGTAAACTTTATAAACTATCAGAATCTTTATAAAAATAAATCTCCATACAAGTACATATTTGCAGATAAATGTGTAAGGATATAGTTATGTGACCAAATTTTATTACTGGTTAAAAAATGTCATAATTACCCAAATCATAACAGAATACATTCTTGATGTAAAAGATTTAATATATTGCAACAAACAAACAAGAAACACAGGGTAAAACGAAAAATTCTTCTTTTGTTCCTAACTCCTTTTTCTTCAATTTACTTCTCCTGAGATAACATCAGAAGCACTGTTAATAGATTAGATGTGTTTCAAACATTACATTTTTAATGAATTTATTTTTCCACATATATGTATTATTCTGTATCTTGCATCTTTCACCCAGCAATGTGCCTTAGACATTTTTCAAAGTTAATAAAAATTAGATTTATCCCATTTAGATACTACTAAATTATTTGGCCTTAAACATTTGTTAAATTTAACCTAGTTTTATATTTTGTCGATAGGCATATATAAACAATGTTTTATTTTCTAGGTTAATTTATTTTTTATTATTTTGTCATAGTCCATACTTTTGGCAAGGTGCTGAGATGACTTCATTGTTGGACTATTTAGCATTTAAGATACCAGTTGATATAAAATGTACTTTATCTGTATTACATGCCTTTAATAAAATAGTAGGTAATGCTTTTTAATTTTTGTCAATTTTTAAGCTACAAAGTGGTTTATAGATTCTGTTTTTCTAATTATATTCAACCTCTCATGCAGAAGCATTGTTCTTTCTCCCTTTAGTGCAATGACACCAGTGTCTATCTTGTGCTATTTGCAAATGGAATGTTTCTGGGAAAGGGGTTATAAAAGCAAATAGTTCTTAAATAATAACTGATATATTTATAAAAACCTAGAAGGATTTCCAGGAATAACTGCTACAAATGAGAATTTTTTTCGTTGTGTTTGTCTCAAATTATTTTCTATCACTTCATTTTGATGAACCATGACCAATCTAACTGGATATCGTTTTAATAGAAAATTAAGCATTTAGAAGTCAGACAGTGGATGTCTTAAAATATATGTCCTGGTGCTGTGTAACCTTCCCTTTAACAAGTACATTGCTATGATACGTGTTCATATCAGAGAACTCAATCAAAATTTGTAATTTCTTAAAACAAGTAACAAGTCTAGTGAAGAATAAAAAAAAATTTCTCTCTGGCTCTGAAATGGAGTTTTCTTTATCAATAGTGAATAACCTGAGTGCTCATGGCCAGAGAATAAGAATGTACCAAACTGTAACATTACAAGAGGCTGGCTCAGGGAGGTCACCAGCCATAGAAAAAAAAAAAAAAGGAAGGGCACGATTAACTCTCACTTACAAAATGCAAGCGTATCATGCCCACTGATCTAGATTTAGATCCAGGCTACAATGTATTTTATGTGAAGAAATTATTAAATTTGCACATTAGCCTACTTTTGAGTCATAATAAGTTTCTTTAGCACAAAATGTCCTGAGAGTGAGAAAGGGATTCCTGCTTTACCCCAGAGAGCAATGCAGCGATTAATTCCACCACCTGAAGCAAAAGAACTCAGAGCAAAGATCTGCCTTTTACATGACAATCCCAACTGAGAAAAATGGTTTCTTTCCGTGTTCTTTAATATATTTTGTTTCACACAATATATAAGTTTTCTAGTCTCCCTATTATTAAGCCATTTATGCTACATGAATTATCTTTCATATGTAGGGTACTTTAAAAATCTTAACAAACATCAACCTGAGCCATTCAACCCTCTCTGTATTTAATTCACTATTATTTGGTCTATTAGAAAGGATAATTTCTAGTGTTGTTTTGGGTTCTGAGAATGTATGTTTCCCATATGAAAGTTTTATTTTAAGTACCTTACTTCCAAAGGAATATATTCTTGGGTGTATAAGTCAGAACTGCTTTCCTAGTCACTGAACTGAATACTTACACTGAACAAAAGTTAAATTTATTATGTACTTCATATTCACAATTTCCTTTCTAAACTTTGAATTAGATAGAATATAATACTGGGAATTTAGTTTATTATTTGTGAACAAATCTAGAGATTCTGTTAAGTGTGTGTGTTTGGGGGAGGTGGTGGTGAGGATCAAGAGAATGTGTCTAAAATGTTACCATAGTCCTAAACGTTATTTAATAAATCACTTGAAAACTAGCTTTTATCCATAGTAGTATAATGAGATTACATTTTCAGAGATTACTATTAAAGATTAAAAGTCAAAGGAAATGATCCTTTTTCTGTCTTCAATCTCCTTGATTTCACAGTAACATATATGGCATCTTTGGCATCTGTTTCCTATATCAATCAGAACTTTGGGTCACAAGTTATAAAAAGCCCAACTCCAACTTGCTTAAGTAAAAAGAGAATGTATTGGCTCACAGAAATAGGAAGAAGATGGATATTCCTGGTCACTGAAGCCATGAACTAATGGAACTCTTGTAATCTCCATCTCTCCTTCTGTTTCTTTCTGTGTATTAGGACCTTTTTCTCCTACAACAAATAGATACACTTCATTTGGCACAGAATGAATGGTTATTTGCAGCTTGAGTCATTCTTAACAGTTTATGAATCATGGAAAAAGAGAATTTATCTTTTCCAGTAACTGTAAATCTCTGGGAAGGACTCTAGTTGGGATCAACTTTGTTCCATCATGATTACTCAGGCCAAGGCCATACCCATCCCTGGGACCACAAGGCTATGCACAATGATTGGAAACACCAACAGAACCTTGTCAAGCTGGGGGCAGGGGGTGTTAATCCCCAGATGATGCAGGGGAGGGAAGAAGGGGAAAGGGTTTAAGGAAGCATTTTATTTCTCCTGATTGTCCTTTGACACCTCTGCTTTATTTTTCCCAACCACTGCATTGGCTGCTCATCCTCTTCTTATCCCCTACCTCTCATTTAGGCATTCTCTAACATTATACTCTTTTAGAAATTTACATCTCGTCCAGAAATAGCTCTTCTTAACACACAGTCACAACTAGTGTGTCTATGCAAAAGCATTGTTTCTATCTTTAGATATCAGTTTCATCAATATCTACTTGTCACACAAGAGCAAAGTATGAGTTACAAATTTACCCATTCTCAAGATTATACAATATGGAAGATATACAAACATGCAACAGCCATAATATGGTAATTTTGCACCGATTTCTTAAATCTTAATAGAAAATTGTTAAGTACCACTTTTTGCTCTTTCCCAGCACCCCTGAGACTTAAATATGGAATTGACATTCTTACCAATAAAGTAAACTAAGAAATGTAATTAATAGAAAGTACTGATTTTCACACATCAGGAATATCAAATGCATATACTTATGCAGAAACATCTGGAAAAACACATCCTTTGAAAGATAAATCTTTGCAATGTATTATACGTTATGATAGTTTATACAGTTCCCTCATGTCCAGAATTCTACTAAATGCACAGACTTGAGTCCATCCCACTATATATGTTAGTCACATTTTCAGTTCTTTCCCTCCTACACAATATATAACATACTCTAGAAGCAACTAGAAAATCCCTTTTAAGACATCACAGCAAAATATAACTGTGAGAAGTTAGCTTATTTGTGTTCTACTACAGGTGCTGCTCACACCATGTCTGCTGGACAATGGGCCACCACTGGGGAAGGAATAATGCCTTCATGTTGCTTAAAGTAGTCAACTGTACATTGTTGTATCTGTGTCACCCATTATAGGGCAGCAAGGACATAATGTAGCAAGTACCAAAGAGAGGAAGCAAGGATTATGGGAGTACAGAGAAAGGAGAGATTATTTTTTGAAGGAACAAAGTAGACAGAAACACAAATTGGGGAAAAAGATATGTGAAATGTTGGGTGTTTTCAATTGTAAGTTTAAAAACATCCATCTAGAAGTTGAAAATTGGAATATAGGATTCAGGGCAGAGTTTTCTACTAGAGACTGAAAGGTGGAAGTCATCTGATTACATGAAATTCTACAAATGTTTAGCTGTGTGACTGAGCAAATAATTTCTCACATCTTGATTTCCCTAACTTCATAATGGGGAAGATAGTATCTAATTATTAAGATGTTTTGATGAGGATTATCAATCTACATAGGAAAACTTCTTTGCCCAGTTCTTATCAATGAGCCAGCCATTGTTATCAGTATCCTAATTGCCATTACAGTGCACTTGGCTCTATGTCAGGCTCAAAGGGCTGATCCTCTGATGAGAGAAAATGAAGTTGTCAAGAAAGAGATTTTAATAGAAAGGACCACTGTAGGAGAATCTCCTGATCATTACATTCACTGGCTATTTATCACCCTGTCCTGACTCTTTCTTCATCCCCCAGGATATCCATTTCTTCGCTTTTGTATTTTAATCCCTCCCTATTGGCTAGCACTTCTGAAGTATCTGACATCATTGATATGGCTTTGGTTTATTATTAATAATATTGTGCATAGCTTACATTTACTAAGTTCTGACCAAATAATCCTTGCCACCAACCTGTAAGGAGGAAATTGAACCAAATTCATAGCAAGTAACTGGCCCATGGTGACACAGAATAAGTGACGGAGAAAGAATTTGAATCAAGACAGTCTGAAATTGGGTCCTCCAGTCCTTCTCACCTTCTTAAGCTGCCTCTTCTTCTTTTTTTTTTTTCTTTCTTTTCTTTGAGACAGAGTCTTGCTCTGTCACCCAGGCTGGAGTGCAATGGCGCCATCTCGGCTCACTGCAACCTCCGCCTCCCGGGTTCAAGTGATTCTCCTGCCTCAGTCTCCCCAGTAGCTGAGACTACAGGCGCCCACCACCATGCCCGGCTAATTTTTGTATTTTTACAAAAATATTGACCATTCTTCCCTCTGTAGAGGCGGGGTTTCACCATATTGGCCAGGCTGGTCTTGAATTCCTGACCTTGTGATCTGCCCGCCTCGGCCTCCCAAAGTGCTGGGATTATAAGCGTGAGACACCGTGCCCAGCCATCTAAGCTTCCTCTTTTCATAAGAGGAGAAATAGTTGTGCCTATTCCCTCTTTGTCCAAATTCTGCCCATCATCTGAAACCTATTTACAGTCTCAAATGTTTAGGAAAGAGCTTTCTGAACACTATGGTCATTATGGTCATTAATAATCTTGTCTTAACCTCAGCGTTCAAATACAACACCTTGCCCGGAGATATATGATTCTGAAAATGGAAACTTCTACGTGAGCTACAAGGATTTTTGAAAATAGTAGGATAGTCAGAGTTTGGAAAGGCGACGAGAAGAAATATAACCTATTATGCAGACGTATGTCACAAGTCTGGGTACAACCCAGGAGTGAAGATGGAGTGCCAGAGGAATGGTGGGGACCACCCCCTTAGGCTGGAGAAACCCAGCGAGATTGGAGATTTTGACAGGTTGTGGGTTTTGATCTTTCTTTTCTTTGTCCCTTTCTTTCTTTTCTTTTCCTTTCTTTCTTTCTTTCTTTCTTTCTTTCTTTCTTTCTTTCTTTCTTTCTTTCTTTCTTTCTCTCTCTCTCTCTCTCTCTTTCTTTCTTTCTTTCTTTCTTTCTTTCTTTCTCCCTCCCTCCCTTCCTTTCCTTCCTTCCTTCCTTCCTTCCTTCCTTCCTTCCTTCCTTCCTTCCTTCCTTCCTTCCTTCTTAGATTTTGACAGATTGTGGATTTTGATTCCTTCCTTCCTTCCTTCCTTCCTTCCTTCCTTCCTTCCTTTCTTCCTTCCTTCCTTCCTTCTTAGATTTTGACAGATTGTGGATTTTGATTCCTTCCTTCCTTCCTTCCTTCCTTCCTTCCTTCCTTCCTTCCTTCCTTCCTTCCTTCCTTCCTTCCTTCCTTAACAGTTTTGCTCTGTCACTCAGGCTGGAGTGCAGTGATGCTAACAGAGTTCACTGTGACCTCAAACCCCTGGGTTCGCTGCTTCAGCCTCCTGAGTAGCTAGAAATGCAAGAGGCCACCACCATGCCTGGCTATTTTTTTTCTGGCTTTTTTTTTTTTTCTTTTTTTTTTTTGTAGGCACCAGGCCTTACTATGTTGTCTAGGCTGGTCTCAAACTCCTGGCTTCAAGTGATCCTCCCACCGCAACCTCCCAAAGTGCCGGGATTACAGGCATGAGCCACCGTGCCTGGCCTTGACTTTTATCGTGAATAAAGCTGTTAAAAATAAAATATTAGAAAAGTCACAAATAATAATTCAAAGTTTCAGGAAGAATTAAACCATATTTAGGTAGTATCTATAATTGATTAAAAGAGAAAAGCAGAGCCAGGAAAACTAGTGGAGAATCTATCATAGCAATCCAAGTATGGAGTAATGAGTTCTTGGAATGTGGTGTTAGTGGGGAGAATGAAAAAAAGAAAAAACAACTGTGTTGATTCACAAAGCACTTGAAGGAAGACAGGACAGTATGGAGCTTGATGAGTCATAGGTTAAAGTCAAGATGACTGGGAAACAGTGACTCACATCCACTTAGGTTGATCAACTCTATGCGCTTCTTTAAAGTGTTTTTCTCTTAGTGGGTTACCAACAAGTGAGGAGCTTTGTACCGTGATGCCCTGTTAACTTTGCTTCTTACTCTGAAATGTGATTGTCTTTTATAATGAGAATGGTGACTTTATTAATTTTTGTGATGTCACCATCCTTGTTGTCCAGGTATACAAGCATACTTTTGAGGGTTGACTTATAGGCAATCATGGATTACTTGATTCTGTTTTTTTCCAGCCCTTACTACTCTTCCCTGACTATTCACTGAGGGGGAAGAAAATAGTAGAAGGAGATTATGGGGTTTCATGCAATAAGGGATTTCATATATTTTCAGATGTTTAGTTACATAAGGTATACGCTCTGTGTTCACAATTCCTAACTGGGGAAAGTAAGGACTTTACTTAGACTTAGGCCACCTCCCACTCTTCCCCAGTCATACGTAATTAATTCTCTTTAATTATTTCCTTTGATTATTTCTTTATTACACATTTTTTTCTTAGTTTGATGCATAATTGCAGTTACTATCATTAAGTTTTGAGTCCTCGGGGAGATTATTTACACCTGGAAGCCAGACTTTTAGGGCGGCTTCTCAAAATTTTTTGGAAAGAGATGGAGAAAAGGAAGGAAGAGAAAGAGAAAAATAACTTGTATGTAGGGAGATGCAGGTATGTGTATATATATATACATATACATAAATACACACACTTATACATGTGGTCAAAGAGAAAACTTGACTAATTATTATGAATTACACATAGTTAACACACTACAATGTGTGTGCACGCACACACACACAGATGTGTGCAGATGCAGACATCAGGAGGTCTGCATCAGGAGATGCATCAGGAGATGCAGATATGCATCAGGAGATGCAGGTATGTGTATATATATATACATACATATATACATATACATAAATACACACACATATACATGTGGTCAAAGAGAAAAGAAAACTTGACTAATTATTATGAATTACACATAGTTAACACACTACAATGTGTGTGCACACACACGCACACACACGCACACACACAGGGCGCCTGTCTGGTAAAAGACTGAGAAATTATCTATTATGAATGTTTTATTTTTAAAGTGTATGCATATATCTATGGTATTGACAATGTTAGAGAAATGACAGTCTTTTTGTTGCCTTTTGCTAGTTCTGGACATAAGAAGTTTCCTCCTTGAGCAACATAGTGTTGTTTTATCAGAAATGAAGCTGATAGTGAAGTGATAAATCATTTTCTGTGGAACTGATGCTTCAGCCAAGAGAAAATGACAATGAGGTAGAGCTGAGTTGTTGGGGTGAGTGAACTATAGCATATTCCTAAAGCACTACAGCTACCCAGTTCTATTTATTTGTGAGTACAGTTGGTCCTTGGCATCTAAGGGGAATCCATTCTAGAATCCCTGTGGATACCCAAATCTTGAATGCTCAAGTCCCTTAAATAAAATGGGATAAAATGGGGTCGTATTTGCAAATAACCTACACACATCCTCTTATATACTTTAACTTGCCTCTAGATTACTTATAATACCTAACACAATGCAAATGCTGTGCAAATGTTAGTTCTAAAACTTATATATGTATATTTAATACTTTGATCTGCAGTTGTTTGAATCCTCAAATGCAGAATGCAGGTATGGAAGGACAGTTATATTCATGATACAGCTCCATATTTTCTGTGTATATAGATACCATTTGATGTGGCACAGTTTGTCTCTTTTATGGACTCTATTTTGTATTATCTTGCTTACTGTTAAATAATTTAAGGCAGAATCATGTTTTATTCGTTTTGAAGTTCTGAGCAGTGATTAGCTCAATCTCTAGACTGTAGCAGCTATTTTTATATATTAAGTAAACAGAGTTAAATGAACCATGCTGTATAAATTAAATTTTATATGAAGTATATACATTCAATATGTGTCCTATCAAAAGTTTGCATGTTTTCTGTTTCTTTTCTTCTTTTCATTGTTTTTGATCAACAGGTACTGGATACATTTCTCCAACACTGAGATCAGTGTTAGAAATTTTGAAAATTGACTGAAAAAATATTAAAAAACTCACCAAAACATGGCACCCACTCTCAAAGAAATAACTTTCTTTTCTTTTCTTTTTTAAATTATACTTTAAATTGTGGGATACATGTGCAGAATGTGCAGGTTTTTTACATAGGTATGTGTGTGGTCTGCTGCACCTATCAACCTATCATCTAGGTTTTAAGCCCTGCATGCCTTAGCTATTTGTCCTGATGCTCTCCCTCCCCTCACTGCTGCCCACTGGTGTGTGTTGTTCCCCTCTCTGTGTCCATCTATTTTCATTGTTCAACTCCCACTTGAGAGTGAGAACATGAGCTATTTGGTTTTCTCTTCCTGTGTTAGTTTGCTGAAGATGATGTCTTCCAGCTTCATTCATGTCCCTGCAAAGGACATGATCTCATGCCTTTTTATGGCTGCATAGTAATCCATGGTGTATATGTGTCGCATTTATTTTATCCAGTCTATCATTGATGGGCATTTGGGTTGGTTCCAAGTCTTTGCTATTGTAAATAGTGCTGCAATAAATATGTGTGCATGCATCTTTGCAGTAGAATGATTTATAATCCTTTGGGTATATACCCAGTAATGTGATTGCCATGTCAAATGGTATTTCTTGTTCTAGATCCTTGAGGAATCACCACACTGTCTTCCACAATGGTTGACCTAATTTACACTCCCACCAACAGTGTAAAAGCATTTCTATTTTTCCACAGCCTCGCCAGCATCTGTTGTTTCCTGACTTTTTACTGATCGGCATTCTGACTTGCATGAGATGGGTATCTCATTGTGGTTTTCATTGGCATTTTCGTGATGTTGAGCTTTTTTTCATATGTTTGTTGGTTGCATAAATGTCTTCTTTTGAGAAGTGTCTGTTCATGTTCTTTGCCCACTTTTTGATGTTTTTTTTCTTTTTTCTTGTAAATTTGTTTAAATTCCTTGTACATTCTGGCTATTAGACCTTTGTCAGATGGGTAGATTGCAAAAATTTTCTTACATTGTGTAGGTAGGCTGTTCACTCTGATGATAGTGTCTTTTGCTCTGCAGAAGCTCTTTAGTTTCGTTAGATCCCATTTGTCAATTTTTGCTTTTGCTGCAATTGCTGTTGGTGATTTCATCTTAAAATCTGTGCCCATACCTATGTCCTGAAAGGTATCACCTAGATTTTCTACAAGGGTTTTTATGGTTTTGGGTTTTACATTTAAGCCTTTGATCCATCTTGAGTTAATTTTTGTATAGGGTGTAAGGGAGGGGTCCAGTTTAATTTTCTGCATATGGCTAACCAGTTTTCCCAGCACCATTTATTAAATAGGGAATCCTTTTCCCATTGCTTGTTTTTGTCAGGTTTGTTGAAAATCAGATGGTTGTAGATGTGTGGTGTTATTTCTGAGGTCTCTATGCTGTTCTGTTAGTCTATATATCTGTTTTGGTTCCAGTACCATGCTGTTTTGGTTACTGCAGCCTTGTAGTATACTTTGAAGTCAGGTAGTGTGATGCATCCAGCTGTGTGTTTTTTTTTTTTTTTTTTTTTTGCTTAGGATTGTCCTGGCTATACAGGCTCTTTTTTGGTTCCATATGAATTTTAAAGTAGATTTTTTTCTAATTCTGTTGAAGAAAGTCAATGTAGCTTGATGGAGATAGTATTGAATCTATAAATTACTTTGGGCAGTATGGCCATTTTCACGATATTGATTCTTCCTCTCCGTGAGCATGGAATGTTTTTCCATTTGTTTGTGTCCTCTCTTATTTCCTTTAGCAGTGGTTTGTAGTTCTCCTTGAAGAGGTCTTTCACATCCCTCTTACAACTTACAAAGTTGTATTTCTAGGTATTTTCTTCTCTTTGCAGCAATTGTGAATGGGAGTTCACTCATGATTTGATTCTCTGTCTATTATTGGTGTAAAGGAATGCTTGTGATTTTTGCACATTGATTTTGTATCCTGAGACTTCGCTGAAGTCGCTTATCAGCTTAAGGAGCTTTTGGGCTGAGATGATGGAGTTTTCTAAATATAGGATCATATCAGCCACAAACAGAGACAATTTGACTTCCTCTTTTCCTATTTGAATACCCTTTATTTCTTTCTCTTATCTGATTGCCCTGGCTAGAACTTCCAATACTATGTTGAATAGGAGTGGTGAGAGAGGGCATCCTTGTCTTGTGCCGGTTTTCCAAGATTCCCTTCAGTATGATGTTGGCTGTGGGTTTGTCGTAAGTAGCTCTTATTATTTTGAGATATGTTCCATCAATATCTAGTTTATTGAGAGTTTTTAACATGAAGGGATATTGACTTTTATCAAAGGCCTTTTCTGCGTCTATTGAGATAATCATGTGGTTTTTGTCATTGGTTCTGTTTATGTGATGGATTATATTTATTAATTTTTGTATGTTAAATCAGCCTCAGATCCCAGGGATGAAGCCAAACTTGATTGTGGTGGCTAAGCTTTTTGATATGCTGCTGGATTCGATTTGCCAGTATTTTATTAAGGATTTTTGCATTGATGTTCATCAGGGATATTGGCCTGAAGTTTTCTCTTTTGTTGTGTCTCTTCCAGGTTTTGGTATCAGGATGATGCTGGCTTCATAAAATGAGTTAGGGGGAGTCCCTCCTTCAATTATTTGGAATAATTTCAGAAGGAATGGTACCAGCTCCTCTTTGTACCTCTGGTAGAATTCGGCTGTGAATCTGTCTGGTCCTAGGCTTTTTTTTGGTTGGTAGGCTATTTATTACTGCCTCAATTTTAGAAATTGTTATTGGTCTATTCAGGGATTCAACTTCTTCTTGGTTTAGTCCTGGGAGGGTATATGTGTCCAGGAATTTATCTATTTCTTCTAGATTTTCTAATTTATTTGTGTAGAGGTGTTTATAGTATTCTCTGATGACAGTTTGTATTTCTGTGGGGTCAGTGGTAATATCCCCTTTATCATTTTTATTGTGTCTATTTAATTATTTTCTCTTTTATTCTTTATTAGTCTAGCTAGTGGTCTATTTTATTAATTTTTTCAAAAACAATAGCTCCTGGATTCATTGATTTTTTAAGGGTTTTTCCTGTCTCTACCTCCTTTAGCGCTGCTCTGATCTTAGTTATTTCTTGTCTTCTGCTAGTTTTTGTATTTGTTTGCTCTTGCTTCCCTACTTCTTTTAATTGTGATGTTGGAGTGTCGATTTGAGATCTTTTTAGCTTTTTGATGTGGGTATTTAGTGCTATAAATTTCCCTTTTTTTTTTTTTTTGAGACACAGTCTCACTCTGTCACCCAGGCTGGAGTGCAGTGGCACAACTTTGGATCACTGCAACTTCCGCCTCCCAGGTTCAAGCAATTCTACTACCTTGGCCTCCTGAGTAGCTGGGATTACAGGCTCACGCCACCATGCCCAGCTAAGTTTTTGCATTTTAGTAGAGATGGGGCTTCACTGTGTTGCCCATGCTGGTCTCAAACTCGTGAGCTCAGGCAATCCTTCCACCTCAGCCTCCCAAAGTGCTAGGATTACAGTTGTGAGCCACCGTGTCCAGCTAAATTTCCCTTTTAACACTGCTTTGTGTCCCAGAGATTCTGGTATGTTGTCTCCTTTTTCTCATTGGTTTCAAATAACTTCTTGATTTCTGTCTTAATTTCATTATTTAACCCAGAGTCATTCAGGAGCAGGCTGTTCAATTTCCATGTGGTTGTATGGTTTTGAGTGAGTTTCTTAAACTAGGGTTCTAATTTGATTTCACTGTGATCAGAGAGACTGTTATTATTTCAGTTCTTTTGCATTTCCTGAGGAGTGCTTTACTTCCAATTATGTGGTCGATTTTAAGAATATTTTAAGTGCCATGTGGGACTGAGAAGAATGTATATTCTGTTGATTTGGGGTGGAGAGTTCTGTAGATATCTATTAGGTCCATTTGACCCAGAGCTGAGTTCAAGTCCTGAACATCCTTGTTAATTTTCTGTCTCATTGATCTGTCTAATATTGACAGTGGGGTGTTATGGTCTCCCACTATTATTGTTTGGGAATCTAAGTCTCTTTGTAGGTCTCTAAGAACTTGTTTTATGAATCTCAGTGCTTCCGTATTGGTTGTGTATATATTTAGGATAGTTAGCTTTTCTTGTTGAATTGATCCCTTTTCCATTATGTAATGCCCTTTGTCTTTTTTGCTCTTTGTTGGTTTAAAGTATGTTATGTCAGAGACGAGGATTTCAATCTCTGCTTTTTTCTGCTTTCTATTTGTATGTTTTATTTTGAGCCTGTGTGTGTCTTTGCATGTGAGAGGGGTCTCCTGAATACAGCACACCGACAACTCTTGACACTTTATCCAATTTGCCAGTCTGTGTCTTTTAATTGGGGCATTTAGCCCATTTACATTTAAGGTTAATATTGTTATGTGTGAATTTGATCCTGTCATCATGATGCTAGCTGGTTATTTTGCCTGTTAGTTGATGCAGTTTCTTCATAGTTTCATTGGTCTTTATAATTCAGTGTGTTTTTGCAGTAGCTGTACCGGTTTAAAAAAACAATTTTCATGTCACATAATGTCAACCCTATCTCAATTTTATTTGCCTGATGAGTTTCTACTTAGAAAGACTATTTGTCTATATCTAGTTTTTCACAGTAGTATCATTCTCTATAAAGAGTAGAAATCTGAACAATTTTTTCTCAGAATTGAAACATTTGCCTCCATCTGTCATTTCTACTTTCATTCTTTATTTAATCTCTCTCTATTTAAAATAAAGATGCAATTAAATTATATCTTTAAATACTAACATGAAAAGTAGAATGATAAAAATTCAGGAGAAGTGATGGACGATATGACAATCCCTAAAACCTACCTAAACTGTGAACGTCCAAGAATGTTTGTTGTATGGGTCTGCACTATTTTTGTACCTAAAATTTATTAACAGTTTGAAGAAACAATTTGGAATATCTACTCTGTCAACAATTAAGAAATATCTCATGATATTTGAGGTTGTATTACTATACAAATTTTACTGTTGTAAAGATGTTAAAAGCTAACAGATTCTGGTCAGATACTACTATATTACAGATGAGGTAACACTGGCACAAGCCCCAGTGATAACAAAGATCATTTGCAAGGTAAAAGAAGAACTTTGAACAGAACCCCAAATTCATGACTCTCGTCTAGTGTGGGGATCTTTGTATTGTGCTCTGCTTCTAAACATGCCATGTAATATATTTTACTATTTCATTGTATATGCCATATATCTTTATTGTCACAGCAATTGTAACACAATTGGATAAATACAGCTTTGTCTACCTGCACTAGTTGAGGTTACAAAAAGGAACAACATTTTAAGATATTCATTTATTTCATTCATTCAGAGACATTCAGAACACCTACTCTGGGCCAGGCACCATGAAAGTTACAGAAAGTATCCTGAAATGTAAGACAGACATGGCCCTGACCTCTAAGAGCTGAGTAGCTTGTGCACTGTTTTTACACCCTCCAGCTCCATGGAAGTGCATCAAGGATCATGCCTAAAACTGAAGAAGTTTCCACAGACCCATAAAAAAATTTTAAAGTGATTCATTTATTGACATTTATCTGTTTCACACATGGTCTTAGGTAGAATTTCACTTGAAGAAAGAGTTCTAAATCTAGCCCAGTGGAACTGACTAACAGAAAACAGAAAAAGTATATTTGGAATAAAAGGGGAATACATCGCCATGCATCTCCTATAATAAATATTGTTTTCTCTAAAATATAAATGTATTGTAAACGCATTTCTTATTTCTTTATCTGTTCCCATTTTCAGTGTTTATCCCCACAGATATTTTTAATAACTTTAATAAGTTTGATACTAACTTGATCATCATGTTGAAAAAGAGCTACTTCCCTATAAATGCAAAGGTTTTGCATTTAAAAAATGTTTATTCTTGAAGTGATGTGATAATTTTATTTTGCAGTTGATACAATATTATATTTACTTACAAAATTAAACTTTTGCTATTTGGCATTTTGAATTAATCACGTGAGTGGAATAAATGACTACTGGCTGGAGCAACATGATCTAGATTATGACGTGACTTTAGAACACGGTACTCAGTTGGAGTCTTCTGATTAGGTATCTTAGATTTAATGATCATGTTATTAATGCTACCGAAGTGCAGAGGTCTGTCTCTTTTGTTTTCTGCTATTGCAAAATTTGATTTCATTGTAGTACTGAGACATAAATACCCTGCTTTTCTAGAGAGCATTTCTTGGCTGCTTAAAGTCACTCAGACTTCAGCCTATGACCCTATAATGCTATCCAAGGCACTTAAAAATCACGCAAAAATTCACAGCTCTTGTAGCAACCAGCTGAATCTCAAAGATTCCTCAGAAAACAAAAAGTCATGTTGGGTTCATATTAAGAGTTTAGGTTATTTGGTTGATGTACAACTAGCTAGATATAATAACTTAATTTGTCAAATGGCTCCAAATTTCATTTCATTTATATCTTATAGAATTTGGAGACTTTCGGAAGTTTATCAAAACTTTTGCTTCTATTACAGGGCCATTAAAAATAAGAGCTCTGCAATGAGCTCATGATGAAAATGTGTTCATCACAACTAAAGTTGCTAATTCTTTTACCTATGTAGACTGTATTCTGTTGTTGAGAATATGAGCAAGAAGCTTCCTGTTAGAAAAAAGAGAGAGAAACTTTTATTTCATAATGTAGTCCTCTGGAAACATGGGATTTCTGAAAATATCTACTAAAAATTTAGAAATAACATTTAAGGAATGGTAGAATAGTAAGTAACATGTTTAAGTAAATAACTTTGGAATATTATAACTATATTCTTGTAAAGATTTTACTATGCATTCAATATCATGAGCTCATAATATGTAAATGTATTCTGCTGTTAATATGCATTCACAGCATATGTGGATAATGGTTCCAAAGGAACTGTTATAAGATATGCTCTGAATATGTATGAAGAATAATAGACACATGTTATGGGTTCAATATATAGTAATGGTCCAAAGGCAGAATACATGGTTGTTAATCCTCATTCACTAAAAATACTGAAGCAACAAAAAGAGATAAGTTATGGTATAAGTTTAAATACATATTGAATATACAACACAAACTTAGCAAGCCTTTATGACTTCATCGATACTGCACAGTAATGCAATGAGTAGTATTTTATTGCAGATCATTAGCTAGTCCATAAATGTAGATGTTATATAGATTGAATAATATAACTCACATTTTAATAAAATGAAACACTTGGAAAATATGTACACCTGTAATCTATTGATTGATGCATAGGCTTGGTAAGTCTGTTTCTGTCATAGAGGAATAAACCTCTAAGAGACTGATCATTCCACAGATTATAGCTAAAAATTTTAGAGAAAATACAGAATAACTACCTGAAGAATATGAATAAAAGCTGTGGACAAAAGCTAAGAGATTTTGGAAGTGAGTCAAAACTTGAATTAAGAAAAGGGCATGGTATGAGTTCCTGGGTTTTACAAACTTTGGACTGAAGGTGAAACCCCACCTCTACTAAAAATACAAAAATTAGCTGGGTGTGGTGGCAGGCGCCTGTAATCCCAGCTACCCGGGAGGCTGAGGCAGGAGAATCGCTTGAACCCGAGAGGTGGAGGCTGCAGTGAGCCGAGATTGCGCCATCGCACTCCAGCCTGGGGACAAGAGAGACTTTGTCTCAAAAAAAAAAAAAAAGAAAAAGAAAAGGGCATGGTATGAGTTCCTGGGATTTACAAACTTTGGACTGAAGGTGGAAAGTTGAAACTCCAAGAAAAAGCTCACGGTCTTTCTGGACTAAAAAATAAAAATGCAGAGCTCAAGTGGTCACTGCCATGAGAAAACGAAGGATAATCCTGAAAAGAAAACAGCCAGAGAAGTGAAAGACCAATTCCTCTTAGAAGTGATACACCTTGGAGGGGTATTAATTCTGCCCACGTTTCTGAACCATGCATCAGGACAAAAAACAAACAAACAAACAAAAAAAAAACTGAACTAAGATTTGGGATTCCACAGGTGAGGCAGTGTTTGCAGTTTCAATTCAAATCATGTTAATTGCCTACCAAAACAGAAATATCAACACTATTCAAAGGAATATGATAGAATCTAGAGTTTCCACAACATAACATTCACAATATCCAGAATATAATCTAAAATTATTTGACATAAAAAGAACCAGGAAACTGTGATTTTCTCAAGAGAAAGACAATCAACAGAGACTGTATTAGTTTCCTGTTGCTGCATAACAAATTATACAAATTTAACCACATGAAACAATATATATTCATTATTTCTTAGTTCCTATGCCCAGGAAACTAGGCACAGCTTAACTAAATCCTCAGTTCAGAGTTACAAGGATATAATCAAGGTGTTCAGCTGTGCCGAGTTCTCATCTAGAAGCTTTACTGGGGAAGAACCTGTTTCTCTAGCTCATTCCAATTGTTTGCAGAATTTATTTGTATGACTGTGGGCCTGTTAAGCTGTCCTTTTGTTGCTATACCTAAGACTGGGTAATTTATAAAGAAAAGAGGTTTAACTGGCTTACAGTTCTGCAGGCTGTGCAAGAAGCATGGTGCTGTCATCTGCTTCTGGTGAGGGCCTCAGGAAGCTCCCAATTATGGTGGAAGGTGAAGAGGGAGCAGGTATATCACATGGAGGTAGCAGGAGCAAGAGTGAGAGTGGTGGGGGGTGCCACACACTTTTTAATAACCAGATCTTACAAGAACTCACTATCACAAGAACAGCAACAAGCTATGAGGGATCTGTCCCATGACCCACACACCTCCCACCAGGTCCCACCTCCAACATTGGCAATTACATTTTAACATGAGATTTGGGGGAACAAATATCCAAACTGTATCAGAGGGCTCCAACTTTTTACTAACTATCAACAGGAGGCCACTCTCAATTCCTAGAGGCTTCTAACAGTTCTTGGAGGCCACCTGCCACTCCTTGCCACATGGGCTTATACAGTATAGCTTTTTACTTCATCAATAATTTATAGAATTATAAAGAGAAATAAATCAATCTATCATCACAGTAGAATATTGGATCTGGTATTTGAATTTACCCTACTTATGAGAAATTAGCCAACTACTGTTTCATGGATGCTGACTGAAAATACAAGGCTCTTGGGTCAGAAAAAAAGGAATTATTTTTCATGGCAAGCAGCATAAGCATTAGCATACTTCTATCAGTTCTCTTTGCCCCCAAGTCTCATGAGGGAAACAGGATGGGCTCAGATGGGTGCATAATGTATCTCAGAAATTCAGACTGGGGAAGCCACTGCTTTTATTACAAGCAGTAGGTGAGTACGCAGCTTTTCTGGAGGCTGGGGGATGGCACTTTTTCTCTCAATGCTATCAGTGACATTAACAACCCCCAAAAATGGCCCAGGTAAAAGAAGGATCAGAGCTTTGCAGTATTGGCACACCCAGCAAAATACATAGGAATGCAAGAGGTCCAAGGAGAACTGTATCTCACAAAAGATATTTTTAGCACCACCTTCTCAGAAATTTATAGAAAAAACTACACAAAATATCAGTAAACACACAGAAGATCTGAAAAATATTATAAAATTTGAACGAACTGATATTTACAATACAAAATATTAAGTATAGCACTCATGGTATGTTTACTAAGAGCATTTGCAGGGCAGTTAAGCAAATCACAATATATTTAAAAGAAATTAAATTATGCAAGGTATATTCTCTGAGCGGAGTAAAATCAAGTTAGAAATTTGCAACAATAAGGTATTTTACTAGTCAGGGTTCTCTAGAGGGACAGGACTAATAGAATAGATGTAGATATGAAGGGGAGTTTATTAAGGAGTATTGACTCACACAGACATAAAGTGAAGTCCCACAATAGGCCATCTGCAAGCTGAGGAGCAAGGAAGACAGTCTGAGTCCCAAAACCTCAAAAGTAGAAAAGCCAACAGTGCAGCCTTCAGTCTGTGGCCAAAGGCTCCAGAGCCCCTGGAAAACCACTGGTGTAAGTCCAAGATTCAAAAAGCTGAAGAACTTGGAGACTGATGTTCAAGGCATGAATCATCCAGTGAGGGAGAAAGATTGAGGCCAGAAGACTCAGCCAGTCTAGTTCTTCCACATTCCTCTGTCTGCTTTTATCTTAGCTGTGCTGGCAGCTGATTAGATGGTGCCCACCCAGATTGAGGGTGGGTCTGCCTCTCTCAGTCTAGTGACTCAAATGTTAATCCCCTTTGGCAACACCCTCACAGACACGCCTAGGAACAATATTTTGCATTCTTCAATCCAATGAAGTTGACACTCAATATTAGCCATCACAGATACCCAGGAAAACCTTGAACATTTGTAAAATAACAACTCACTGATAAATAATTCATGGGTCTTAGAAGACATTGCAATGAAAATTAGATAATATTTTTAACAGTGATATTGAAAATACAATATGTCAAACTTGGTGATACAGAGCTAAAGCAGTGTTTAGGGGGAAAATAATGGCTTTAAATATTTCTATGTGAGAAGAAGAAAGTTCCAAATCAATGATGCACCTTAAGAACCTAGAAACAGTAGAGCAAATTAAACCCATTATGCATAGAAAAAAAAAGAAAAATATAGAGTAGAAATCAATGAAATAGACCAGCAACCAAGAAAATTTTAGAATTAAAAAGTGGATTCTTTAAAAGGAACAATAAAATTGATAAGCCCCTACTAGACAGAACAAGAAAATACAGAAAGATAGAGAGTGTGGGTAATATCAAGAACAAGTGATGGATTATCATGGCATATCCTATGCATATTAAAAGAGTAACAGGAGAATGTTAACGATAACATTGTGCCAAAAATTTTAACTTCTTGAAATACAGTTTACCAAAACTGACACCAGATAAAACAGAAAATCTGTGATCTCAGTGCAGGCAAAATTTTCTTAGAAAAGACATACAAATATACAATAACACTTCAATAGAGTTTTTGAATAAAATGCAGACTTGGGAAGTAGATTCTTGGTACTATATTTGTTTTCTAACCATAGAGCTTTAAATACATGCATTAAGAAAACTCTAGAGAATATCACAGAAAGGTTATGATGATTAAACACACTATGGAAGGAAGCTTCTGATATGGTTCCCAATGATCCCCACCACTTACTATTTACCCCCTCATGCGATCTACTCTTCTTTAGGGTAGGCTACACCTAGTCACCTGCTTCAAACCAACAAATATGACAAAAGTGATGAGATATCACTTGTGTCTTCAGGTGTCTTCTCCCTTGCTCACACTCTTTCTGGCACTCTCTTGCCCACTTTCTCACTTGCTCTGATGAAGCTACGTGTCACGTTGTGATATTTTATAGAGAGGTACATATAGCAAGAAATTGCATGAGGCCTGTAGTCAATAACTTATGAAAAACTGGCACCTTAGTCCAACTATGCATAAGAAAGCATTATGTCAACAATCTCATAGGTGAGTGTATTAGTCAGGATTCCCTGGAGGGACAGAACTAATAGGATATATATATCCTATTAGTATCTATCTATATATATATCCTATGCTTTTATATATATATCCTATATCTATCTATATATATATCCCCTATATATATACATAAACTCCCATACATATATATATATATGTATATATGTATTAACTTACACAATCGCAAGTTTCCACAATAGGCTATCTGCAAGCTTGAAGAGCAAGGAGAGACAGTCTGAGTCTTAAAACGGAAATACTTAGAGTCTGATGTTTCAGGGCATGAAGCATCCAGCATGAGAGAAAGATGTAGGCTGGGAGGCTAGGCCAGTCTAATCTTTTCATATTTCTGCCAGCTTTAAATTCGCTGGCAGCTGATCAGATTGTGCCCACAGGATGAAGGGTGGGTCTGCCTTCCCCAGCCCACTGACTCAAATGTTAATCTCCTTTGGCAACGACCTCAGAGACACACCCTAGGTCAATACTTTGCATACTTTAATCCAATCAAGTTGACATTCAGTATTAACCATCACAAGTCCACCCCTTTCTCTTTCTTTTTTTTTTTTTTTTTTGAGATGGTGTCTTGCTCTTGTCACCCAGGTTGGAGTGCAAATGGTGCGATCTTGGCTCACTGCAACCTCCGCCTCCCTGGTTCAAGTAATTCTCCTGCCTCAGCCTCCTGAGTAGCTAGGATTACAGGTGCCAGCCACCACACCCAGCTAATTTTTGTATTTTTAGCAGAGGCAGGGTTTCCCCATGTTGGCAAGGCTGGTCTCGAACTCTTGACCTCAGGTGATTCTTCCGCCTCGGCTTCCCAAAATGCTGGGATTACAAGCATGAGCCACTGTGCCTGGGCAAGTCCACCCCTTTTCAACTTGAACCCATACACAACTCCTGAGATCACATATAATCTTCAAATAAAGACAATAATGTCATAATTATGCCTAACATAATACAACTGTCCTTTGTACAACCAGAAATGGACCAATCCCCAACCCAAATGCTATTACATAAAGTTAACAATATTTAAATGCTGATATGAAGTCAATAAATCTTATGTCACATGATAAAGGAAAAGAAAATAAAATGAAGATATTTTCTTAGTACAAGTGTATACATGGACAAACATATTTTTAACAAAAGAAGGTGGAAATACTCATGACAGTTACAGTCCTTGGTTCTGCCGCTGGTCACGTGGTCATCGTTGGTATTGATGACTACCTTCTTTTACTACCCATTCTGTATTCCCTTTGCCTTTAGCAAGCACCTCAGCAGATCACGTTTTTTTTTTTCCTGGTGGAGTGACCCAAACCTTCAATCCTCAGGGGTCTGGACCATTTGTAGTCCTTCCTCGATTGCGCTATTGTAGTTTCCCATTGACCTTAATCATAGGACATGGTAATACTAAGAGATGCCCTAATGGATCTCCTGTATTCCATGTATACTCTTCCTTATCTTCGTTATGGAGTAGTAGACTGATTTCATCTTGATAGTCCGGGTCAATCACCCCAGCCAACACTGTAACTCCCTTCTTAGTCTGTTGACTTAAACGTAGGAGGAGCCCAAAGTGTCCGGGTGGCCATCTTAACTTCCAGTTTAATGAAATCGTTGTTGTGTCTCTTGGTGGCAGCGTTCCTCCCTCTGGAGCTTAGACCTCTAGGCCAGCAGAACGTAATGTTGTGGGAATAGAAAGCAAAAATTTTGCTAGTGGATCACTAGGGATGATGGTGAGTGGTTCCACTTCCACTTCCACTCCTTAATTCCTAGATCCATTAATCCTGGCTATGAGAGAAACAGTACCATATATTGGATGCTGATTCAGAGCATACACGGCCTTCTGGAGAACTTTGCCCCAGCCCTGCAAAGTATTGTCACCTAGTTGGCATTATAATTGTGATTTCAAAAGGTCTTTCCTCTGTTCTACCAATCCAGCTGCTTCAGGGTGATGGGGAACATGGTAAGACCAGTGAATTCCATAAGCATGAGCCCACTGCTGCACTTCTTTAGCCATAAAATGAGTGCCTTGGTCAGAGCCAGTGCTGTGTGGAATACCATGACTGTGGATAAGACATTCTATGAGTCCATGGATGGTAGTCTTGGCAGAAGCATTGCGTTCAGGATAGGCAAACCCACATCCAGAGTAGTAAGTGTCTATTCAAGTGAGGACAAACTTCTGCCCTTTCCATGTTGGAAGAGGTCCAGTACAATCAACCTGCCACCAGGTAGCTGGCTGATCACCCTGAGGAATGGTGCCATATCGAGGGCTCAGTGTTGGTCTTTGCTGCTGACAAATTGGGCACTCAGCAGTGGCTGTAGCCAGGTCAGCCTTGGTGAGTGGAAGTCCATGTTGCTGAGCCCATGTGCAACCTCCATCCCTGCCATCATGGCCACTTTGTTCATGGGCCCACTGGGCAATGACAGGGGTGGCTAGGGAAACAGGCCGACTGGTGTCCACAGATCAGGCCATTCTATCCACTTGATTATTAAAATTCTCCTCTGCTGAGGCACTCGTTGGTGAGCACTCACATGGGATATAAATATCTTCACAGTTTTTGACCACTCAGAGAGGTCCATTCTTATACCTCTTCTCCAAATTTCTTTGTCACCACCTTGCGATTGTGTAAGTTAATACTTAATAAACTCCCATATATAGATATATAGATATATCTATATATGGGAGTTTATTATATAATATATATATAAATGCTGATACTCTGGCTACTGCTATCACTGTGATTAATAAACTCTTCTTTGTCTCTGACGGCAGTCTCTTGTCTTCTGCTAACGTCCATGCAACTATGACAGGTTATCTTGTTAGCTTGCAAGTAGGTAAAATCTCAGATGCTACATAGTTCCTGACAAACATACTTAGTAATAAATGCAAAAAAAAGTGCCTCGACATTCAAAATTGTAAACATTACTGACATTAAAGAAAACATAAATACATAGAGAGACATAAGATTATTATTGATCAAGAGACTCAGTATTAAGATGTTCATTCTTACTATATTTATAGATTCAATGCAATCCTTTTCAAAATTCCACCAGGCTGTTTTCAAGAAATACATAATACACAAGATCATTCTAAAATTCTTATGAAAAGTTAGAGCATTTGAAACAGTTAAATCGATTTTGGAGAAAAAACATTGGGAGACTTGAACTATATGACTTTAATGCTTACAGTAAAACTAGAGATAGGGTGCGGTATTCATGTAATGTCAGAAAAATAAATGATGGAAGAGGCTAGAGTCCAGAAACAGACCCAAGGATTTATAGCTGAGGTTTGACAAAACTGGCAAACTCACTGGATGAGGGAAAGAAACGTATTTAACACATTTTGCTGGAACCACTGAATGTCTACATAAAAAAAAAGTTAATCGAGACCACTATCTCAATTAACATGCCCAGAAAGAACAATTGAGATAGATCATAGACCTAAATTTAAAAATCAGAACCATAAAGCTTCTCAAAGAAAATTCACAACCTCAAAGCTGACAAAGATTTCTTGGACAGGCTAAGATAAGCATAAACCATAACATTTAAAAAGAGATAACTAGACATTATCAAAACTTAACATTTTGGCTCATCAAAAGTCTCTGTCGAGAAATTAATAAACAAGCTACTATCTGGGAAAAATATTCACAGCATATACATCTAAATAAAAGACTTATATACTATATAATTATAATACTATATCTAATATTTCATATATAGTACACACATACACATATGGCAATAAAACTCCAAGCAATTCAACATAAAAATCAGAAAGATACATATGAATCATCAATAATCACATGAAAAAATGCATAATCTCATTATCTATCAAAGAAATTCAAATTAATACCACAGCAAGACATCATTTTTACCTACTATGATGGCTAAGATAAATATGACTGAAAAGATGAAATGTTACCAAGGATGTCAAGCAACTGGAACTCTCCAGAATTTCTAATAGGGTTATGAAATGGAATAACTCTGACAGTTTTTCAAAAAGTTATCTATATGCTTGCAAAGAAATCCAGCCCCTAGGTACTTACCAAGCACAAATAAAAACATATATTTACACAAAGACTTGTACTCAAATATTTATAGTAGATTTATTCATAATAGGCAAAATTTTAAATAACCCAAATGCCCAACAGCAAATGAATGAATAAGCAAATAGTAGTATATCCACTTAAATGAAATAATCTCAGCAATGAAAAATGAAACTACGAATACATTCTGCAACATGAATAAATATAAAAATTATAATGTTCAGCTAAGTGATCCAGACACAAAACACTACACAGTGTGTTTAAATCCATTCATATAAAATCTACTTAAGGAAAAGCTAATATATGTTGAAAAAATCAGATAATTTAGAACTGGAGAGTTGAGTGGGAAGAAATAGTGACAGAAAAAAAATTCAAGAATAAATTTTCTAGGGTAATGGAAACATTCTATGGCTTTTTGGGTGGTGGCTAAATAGGTATACATAATTGTTCAAAACTTATCAAACTAAACATTTATGCCCTGTTCATTTGCTTACATATTACTCACATCTCAGCTAAAATATCAGAATATGTTTTATGGAGGTAGAAAAATTCACTTATTTATTCATAGGTATGATGGAAAATATTCAGACTCTAGTAAAGTGGGTACACATTTATCATGAAATAGACTGAAAGAGAACTGCTGTGTTTATTTGGTTTGAGAAGTAAAGGAACAATAATCCTCTGCTTTGGCAATGTCAGCATAAGTGCTGTGCAATAAGACAGTTGCCAAGGCTAAAGCTCTCTCCTTATAGTTCTAAATGGTGTTCTATTGTACACTGCAGATTTAGATAGAGACAAGTGGCTAAATGATTATATTGGTTATCTATTGTTGCATTACAAATTACTCCAAAATTTAGTGGCTTAAAACGACACCCATTTGTTATTCCATAATTTCAGTGGGTCTGGAATCTAGGCAAGGTTTAGCCAGGTTCTCTACTTCAGGGTTGCTCACATGCCAAAATCAAGTGGTCAGCAGTCTGTGGTCTCATTTGAAGGCTCAACTAGGGAAGGATTTTCTTCTAAACTTACTCATATGGTTTTCAACAGGATTCACTTCTTCAAGGGCTGTTGGCTGAAAGCCACCCTCAGTTCCTTGCTGTAAAGAAGACAGAGAGAATAAGTGCCAACATGAGGGGGAGAGAAATAGATAGATAGAGAGAGCAAGAGAGTGCAAGAGAGCAGAAGCATACAAGATGAAACTTTCAGGCTTTTGTAACCTAATCCTAGAAGAAATATTTCATGATTTTGCCTTATTGTACCCATTAGAAGCAAGTCACTGGGTTCAGCTACACAGGAGGTGAGGATCATTAAAGATTGTTTTAGAATGCTACCTGCCAAGATACTTAATAATGTGTCTAGGTAAGGAGATACTAAGCATAATATACTATTTTAAGGAAAATTATATTTTCTGGACTTCAGTATGCATGAGTTCTTTTACCTTAGTGTTGAGAAATTTGCATGATGCTATAGAGAAAATATAGCAATATTTAAATATCTTCATATTATATAGTTGTTAAGATATATATATATATATATATATATATCAGATAGTTGTATAATATAAACATTGACTGATAGGGGAACAAAATCTTTCAGAGTCATAAATTATTAAACTTCCACTACAATTTGTAAAATTAAGTACTAAAGGGAATATGATCTACATAAAGTAATTTAACTTGATTTTGTTTTTACTTAAGAAGGCGTGCAGTGCATTTTATTTATTTAATTTTTAATTTTTGTGGATACATAGTGGGGGTATATATTCATGGAGTACATGAAATATTCTGAAACAGGAATACAATGTGTAATAAGCACATCAGGATAAATGGGGTATTCATTACCTCAAGCATTTGTCCTTTCTTTGAGTTATAAACAAATCCAATTATACTCTTGTTTATAAATGTGCAATAAATTATTGTTGACTGTAGTCACCTTACTGTGCAATCAAATATTAGATCTTATTCATTTTATCTTTGTTTTCATATCCATTAACCATGCTCTATCCCTTCACACCATCACTACCCTTCCCAGCCTCTGGTAACCATCCTTCTACTCTCTATCTTCATGAGTTCAATAGTTTTAATTTTTAGCTCCCACAAATAAGTGAATACATATGAAGCTTGCGTTTCTGTGCCTGACTTATTTCACTTAACATAATGCCCCCAGTTCCATCCATGTTGTTGCAAGTGACTGAATCTCATGTTCCTTATGGCTCAATAGTAGTCCATTTTGTATATGTACTATATTCTTTTTTATCCATTTGTCTGTTGATGGACATTTAGATTGCTTTTAAATCTTGGCTATTGCAAATTAACTAGATTTTTTGAGTTGACTGTATCATTTTCAGAAATATAAATTTGTGTATTGTGTATTTTAATAGTTTGTGTAGATATAACTTGATTGTATGAAAAATTAATTACTTATTAGCTTGATAAGTCAATGAAAGAGCTCATCTCAAATCACCAAAAAGAATTATTTAACTTAAAGTAGATTTTTAAAAAGTATTGATTTTTAAAGAATTTATTAATTGCAATACTATTATGCACTTAAAATATGTAGGATAACAAAATAATTTGAAAATCTTTCTAATATTAAAAAAGTATATCTTTTATACAATATTTGGAAATTTCCATTTGTCTTCTATTGGAATAGAAAACTACATGTTCATAGATAGGTAAACGTTTTTATTAATATATTAACTATATTAGTTAAGCTTTCATGTTATCCATAATCCTGAAAGCAAGATTCTTTTAAGTAGAGGTTATCAGTTTTTGGAAGAATTTTAAGAAATCAAAGAATGACGTTATGTTCACCAGAGACAAAAAGATGAATGTTGTTCATTTTGTCTCATTTAAATATGTGCTATTTTTCATATATCTGTTGCTTTGGGTCAAATGCCACTAAGGAAATATCTGAAACTGCTGATTGTTTTGCTATAATATTTCCGTTTACTCTTGGATTAAGGTTTAGGATTCTCTGATTAATCAAAAGTCTTCTCTTTCTCTGTTGCCCCATTGTCTATACTGAGTGGGGAGAGGGACTGGGAGAGGGATGTGGCTCCTTGATATAAAAATCATTGAGTCTCGGAAAGCGTGACTTTAGCAAAGCTGAAGAAAGAAAGTGATTTATATTCCTTATGCTAAACTAAAAATCAGAATCACAATTTGAGTTAAAAATCCTTCCCGTCTCTACTAAAAATACAAAAAATTAGCCGGGCGTGGTGGTGTGCGCCTGTAGTCCCAGCTGCTCGGGAGGCTGAGGAAGGAGAATGGCGTGAACCCAGGAGGCGGAGCTTGCAGTGAGCCGAGATCGCGCCACTGCACTCCAGCCTGGGTGACAGAGGGAGACTCCGTCTCAAAAAAAAAAAAAAAAAAAAAAAAAATCTCCATAGCCTTGTTTTGAAGCCTTACTTTTGAAAATTACACTTAATTTTTTAAATGCCTTTACAAAAGTGATACTAAGAAAATTTCAGACCCTCTTCAAGGACTAATTTATCAGAAGGAAAAAATCTGGGTGGCCGTAAGAAGCTGCTTCTGTCTGGTGTTGAAAGCATCAGCTCCTTTGTATGAAAGAGACTTAGTGTCTGTAACATTGAGCAATCACAGACAATGTCCGTCAGTCAGTATCTAAGAGAAGAGTACTGTAGGTCTGAGTGCATACCAAATGAGATATTCTAGAGTCATTCCAACAATTGTAAATTGAATGGTTTCATTTTGTAATGGTTAGTTTCAACCTTACCTTTTTATAATCTTTGGCATTTATGTTTATGTTTTACATGGCTTATATATTTCTTTTGACATAGTTTAATAATTATATCTTTATAAGCACCATTCTCTTTCTTTTGTTTAAAAAATTATCTCTTACTCATTAGTGGGCTTTCAAAATACCAGCTTCTTGGTTACTGAGAGACCCAGAAGAGATTTGTCTGCTCTTCAGAAACTAAAAGATAAAAAAGAATATAGGATAAAAAGAGATGGACCAAGGGCCTCTAGCCGAGGTCACACTTTAACAACACTATGGAACCTATGAAGTGAAGCAACACTATTCTAATATTGGTGGTGCAGTTTATAATGTTAATGCAAGTGAGCCTTCTAAGAATACTGTTTTTTTTTTTTTTCTATCATGTGAATTTTTGCCAGCAACATGCAGCCAAAGGTATCTTGGACATACTTCAAATGGGTTTTTGTCTGATCACTTAAAGGGAAATTGCATGAACGGTCTCATTGTTAGGGAGTAAAGCCCTATAATAGAATACTGAGATGAACTAAAAACTTCTGGAATGTATAAATGCCCTATTTTGATACGCGTTTTAAGAAATACAACAGAGCAGCCATGAGATTTGTTCTCTGAATGTCTTGCTTCTGTCTTCTGTATCTTTGCACATGCTGCATTATTTTCCCGTCCTTTCCTTCTTTCCATGATTAACTCCTACTCAACCAGGGTGTCTTCTCCAAACCCATTTTACTTCTCAAATTCCTTTCTCTTCAGGTTGGGTTTCGTTCTGCCTCTTCCTTCCTTCCGCAGAACCTAACTCCTACCTCATAGTGTGAATCTTCCATGAAGATCTTTTTTAAGATGAAAATCTTATTTTAATCTTCTCTTTATATCTTAATCTTCTCTTTACTTGGCCCTTTCCCCTACTCTACTTTTAAGTTCTGTTAGAGCAGGGACTTTGTCTCTTATTTATTTATTTATTTATTTATTTATTTATTTTTGAGACAGAATCTCATTCTTGCCCAGGTTGGAGTGCATTGGTGCTATCTTGGCTCACTGCAACCTCTGCCTCCCAGGTTCAAGCGATTCTCCTGACTCTGCCTCTCGAGTAGCTGGGATTACAGGCACATGCCACCACACCTGGCTAATTTTTGTATTTTTAGTACAGACGGGGTTTCACCATGTTGGCCAGGCTCATCTCAAACTCCCAACCCCAAGTGATCCATCCACCTTGGCCTCCCAAAGTGCTGGGATTACAGGCATGAGCTACAGCGCCCGGTCCTTTGTCTCTAATTCTATGTGCCTCCTACACACTCTCATAGCATTCCATCATTTTCATCACTAAACGCTATTTGTGCTTATATATTTGCATGTGTGATTACTTGATTAATGTCTATCTGCCTCATGACTAAACTTTATAGAGCCAGAACACATCAGCTTTCTTTCCCATTTTATTCCAGTGTTTGCAAAGCAATGAATCTCTGTTGTTGAACAAATGTATTGCTAGGACCTAACAGGAAGTCTGGTGTACAGCAAGCACTCAATATATATCTGATGAATAATTAGATGCGAATTTCAGTTAAAGTCCAAGCTTTTTAACTTATAGAGTGGAGATGACAATACATTTAATACCAGTTACACAGAGTTATCCCAATGATAAAATTGAGTGATGTGTGGTTAAAAAAAAGTGTACATTTTAAGGGACTCTGTATATGGGAGTGATTATAATGAATGCTAAGAGATGGACTGGAGCTGCAGAGGTATTGGGACAGACATATGTCATCCTCAAAAAAAGGTTTTTTTGATGAAAGAACTGAGTTCCTTCAGGAATTCAAGAGTAAGATTGCGTTTCTTCTTGATAGGGAGAGAACAGCAAAATTTGAATACTTAACGTTAGCACACTGAGCCTAAATCGTCTCAATTTCACTGTTCCTAAAGACAAGTTGTATTGGTTTCCTGTGGCCACTGTACCAAATTACCCCCAAAATTTGTAGTTTAAAAGAACAAAATATTATTCTCCCAATCATAGAGACCAGAAGTCTGAAATTGAGGTGTTGAAAGGCCATCCTCCATCTGGAGGCCCTAGGGGAGAATCCACTCCATGACTCTTCTGATTTCTGATGGTGGGACAGCTTCTTCTGCTTGTGGCCATTTAACTCTAACCTCTGTGTCCATCTTTATGTCACCTTCTCCTCTATGTCTGTCTTCTCCTCTGTGTGTTGCTTATAAGGATAGTTGCCATTGAAATTAGGGCCTACCTGGATAATCCAGGAGTATCTCTTCATCTCACAATATTTACCTTAATTACATCTGCAAAGACTCTTTACCCAAACAGGTAACATTCACGGGTTCTGAGTATTAGGACATGGACATATCTTTTAATGAGCCACCATTCAGCTCACTACAACAGTCTATACAGATTGAGTATCCCTTATTCAAAATGTTTGGGACCAAAAAGATTTTGAATTTTGGATTTTTTCAGATATTGGAATATTTGCATATACATCATGGATATCTTGGGGCTGGGACCTGAGTCTTAATATGAAATTCATTTATGTTTTATAAAGACCTCATACATGTAGCCTGAAGAGAATTTTATATAATAATTTTAATAATATATGTGACCTGTCACATGAGCTCAGGTGTGAAATTTTCCACTGTGGTGTCATGTCGGTTCTTTGGATTTTGGAGCATTTTGGATTTCAAATTTTTGGATTAGGGATGCTCAACCTGGGAGAGCTTAGGTAAAACAAACAAACAAACAAACAAAAACCTCACCTTTGTATAGATTTGCTGTTTCAACCAAAATTTTCCAGTGCTGCTGATCTTAAACACAGCCAAACTAAGTAGTCCCTTCTACCTAATTTTAGGTATTTTAGGGATATGTGTAAGGTACTCCTCCCCCAGTATATATCCCTACAACATCTTCATTTCTTCTGATAATTTTATTACATTGCCTGATAATCTATCAATACAAATTCATGTAACACTTTTATTATGATGATGATTATTTTTGGCAGTGATGGTGGTAGCAGTAGTAGTAAAAGTTGTCATAATGATGGTCATAGTCATTATTTTGAAGCCCTAGAGCAGAGTTGAGTTAATCAGCACCTTGGTATATGGTACATTACCTTCACTGGTCTGTGCAAGGCCTCCCTTTTTATGCCTATGTTTGTCTGCATGTATTTATTTGTTCTCCCTAATTCCCAGTCTCAATTCTCTTCTTTGTCTCCTCATAGGTTAGCATTCTCAGATGTTTATGTACGTCCTTGTTTGTGTGTGTTCTTATAAAATGTGCTCTGTTTTCCCTGCACGTATTTTTAGTTATTAATTGGTTCTGAACAAAAATTACATTTTGCTTCTTACATGTTTCACTAAGTATCATTTTTAGATCTATTTTGTTTCTACATGTGTTTAT
This sequence comes from Homo sapiens, assembly GCF_000001405.40. NCBI lineage: Eukaryota > Metazoa > Chordata > Mammalia > Primates > Hominidae > Homo > Homo sapiens. The sequence continues at coordinate 114,914,520 of NC_000007.14, forward strand.
CATCTGTTCCTTCTAATAGCTACACAATACCCCATGCTCTTCGTCTACATAATCAACTTTCTGATTTCCAAAGGATGGCTGCCTAGGTTGACTTCAGCTCCCTGCTATACAAATAGTGTGGCAAGAAATAACCTGTCTATGTCTCCTTGTGGTCCTAAGTTCATTTTTGAGGGTCTGTGAAGATAGAGACGTAACTGTTGGGGGTAGAATTAAGAAGATCATGAGTTATTCATATACTTGTATTTAACATGTAAAATCAAATTTATTCCGTATAATGCTTGGCCCAGATTTGCACACTGTCTAAAGTTGAGAACCTATGGTAACAAGAAAAGAATATAGAGCTGCAAGTGCCGGGGTGACAGATGGGCTGTTCGAAGTAGGAGAGAGAAGAAGGATGGGAGGTGGAAGGATATTCAGGAAACCTTCACTTTTTCCCGGAGTTCATTATAGGTCCCATGCTTGGGTGAACAATATACAGTCATGCATAGCTTAATTGATGGGGGTATGTCCTGAGACATGTGTCACTGGTTGATTTCATTGTTGTGTGAGCATCATAGAGTGTACTTCAACAAACCTAGATGATATAGCCTACTACACCCTTAGGTGGTATGGTATAGTCTACTGTTCCTGGGCTATAAACCTGTACAACAGGCCAGGCATGGTGGCTCACGCCTGTAATCCCAGCACTTTGGGAGGCTGAGGCAGGTGGATCACGAGGTCAAGGGTTCAAGACCAGCCTGGCCAAGGTGGTGAAACCCCGTCTCTACTAAAAATACAAAAATTAGCTGGGCGTGGTGGCAGACATCTGTAATCTTAGCTACTTGGGAGGCTGAGGCAGGGAGTTGCTTGAATCTGGGAGGCAGAGGTTGCAGTGAGCCGAGATCATGCCACTGCACTCCAACCTGGGGGACTGAGCAAGACTCCATCAAAAAAAAAAAAAAAAAAAAAAAAAGAGAAACAAAGAAACCTGTACAACATGCTACTCTACTGAGAACTGTGGGCTATTGTAACACAATGGTAAGTATCTGTATATCTAAACAAAAAAAAAAGGTAGAGTAAAAATATGGCGTAAAAGATAAAAAACGGTATGCCTGCATAAGGCAGCTCTGTTACAATCTTATGGGACCACTGTCATATATGCCATCCATTGTTGATTGAAACATTGTTATATTGCTCATGACTGTAGTTTTGTTGCAATCCTGCTTTTTAGATTTAGCATGTATTTCTTAATACAAAATTTGGAGAAATACGGGCACTGATTCAAATGTCACAGTTGATATTTTCTTTCTTTATCTGAGAATTTAAATGAGTTTAGGGGTTATAGTAACAAAAGAATCCTCATCTTCTACACCATTTTAAACATTTTTGTCATGATCATCATGCTAACATTATTTTCAACTGCAGTTTCAGCAGATCAGTCATTATTTTCAGGAGCTCCTTGTATTTAAAATTTTCCACAATTTTCATTCTCCTGGTATATCTAGGTTCAGTTTCTAAGTATGAAGCAAATGTCTACTTATTGTCTACTGCATATGTTATGGCCATTTTCATTTCTGTCTTCAGTCATGTTGCTTTTATCTGACAAGTACCACTGTATGCCTTAACATCTCCCTCCCTTCCTTTAAAACACAAGAAGGAAAGTACAGTGACAGCAAGGAGAGACCCTGAAGGCCAGTGCCCCAGGCCAGAGAAGTCAGCCAACTGAAAGGGACACTAACTGAGACCTTGGAGAGGACTAATTCAGCAACAAGAGATTTTATGCCTGGTTCTTTGGTTACCCATTCACAACAGAAAATCTTTGGAACTTCAAAATATAACAACAGGCATGACCTTACTTCGCCATCACTTAGAAATGATGGATTCATTTACGTGCATTATCCAGATAGCTGGAGCAAGAAGCCTGGATGACAAGAAATTTAGGCTCCTAAGACTGGCTCTGTAATTAATCCACGAACTGACCTTTGCCAAGTCATTTAACTTCTCTGGGGCTTTCACATTTCTTTGTCTTTGTAAGTGTTATTTCCATCTGGAATTCCCTAACTTCTTTGACAGGCAAATTTACTCATCGACAATACTCAGTTTGGTATTATCGTCTTTCTGAAATGTACCCTGACTCTCCCCACCTACGCCTGAGCTGAGTTAGGTAAGTGCTACTTCCTTTTTGCTCCTGCAGTATGGTAAGTGTTTGTGACTGTTCTGCTGCTACATTGCTGCCTTCTTCTGCCTCTGGCCTTATAGACTATGAACTCCCAGAAGACTAAAACAGTATTTCTTCTATACTTGAAACTCTAGTGTCTGGCATGTGGTTTGACATGTAGTAAATGTTCAACATATGTTTGTTGAACCTAGTAAGTAAACTTTATGTCTTTGTATTTTTCTATATGTTAAATGAAGGAGTTGGGTAAGACTGGTGATTTTTAAACTTTTAAAAAGCGGAAGAACCAGTTGTTTCAGTTAAAATTTAAGAGAAGGACTAATACATTATGGAGAAAAGGAAGAAAGTGCTCTACTCTAAGAGCAGGGTTCCAGAAACCTGCGCACCTGACCTTCCCTGCACCTGATTGCACCTGACACAGTACTAGGAGGTGGAGGAATGCGATCCATACAGCTTGGCCTGGAATTGTGATTGCTAATTTCCCTTGCAGCTGTAAAATTGTCATTCTGTGGAATTTACTCTTTCAAGTAGCAACCTTTTTTTAAAGGAATTTTTGAACATGTTTGAAAGAGTTTTTCCTGGAATGTAAAAAGATTGACCCGACCCCCTAAAAACAGAATATAGCACTCACATAACTAACTGACTCTTTCCTTAATGACTCAGGCTCATTAGGAACATTGACTATTTCACGAAGCTGAATTCACAAAGGCGTTGTTACAACATGTTTATTTTCCTGTATCTTCCTTGTCTGTCAGCTGTCATCTCTCCTGCTGTCAGTTTTTCTGACCTAATAGCTCCCTTAGCTAATCCCTTCTCCTCAATCTTCCTGCGCCCTAAGTTTTCTTCTTCTAAAACAATGTGAGCTGAAACAGTAGAAAATAAAGTTTGATTAGAGGTGTGTATTCACAAAAGAACAAGTAGGATTTGAGAAGGATTATGTCTTTTGTGTTGGCAGTTTCTGAACATCATGAAGGTTATTTTAGGTATTTAGTATGTTGCTGTTATTTCCTGGTTTCTAGGTCATTGGGTTTGGGGATTGCCAAAGTGCTGCTTCTAACATAAATTAGGTAAATATATTTTCCAGAAAAACTATCCTTGATATAATCTGGGAATGACTCCTTAAAGGATTCAAAGCATTTAAAAAGTTTTTTTTCTAAACAAAGAAACAAAGTATTTGAATGTGAACCTTTAATGTATGTTTACTTATAAATCATACCCAAGTACTTTTGTAAGAATGTGCAATACACTGTATAAAAACATACTCAAAAGTAGAAATTAAAAATTATAACATAAAAACATATATAAATGCTCACTCTGATATTTTCTGCCCACATTTCAGTAGATTGTCTTATGCATCCCTTGGAATGCCCTTACAATTACACACCCCAGTTGTAGACCTCTGGTTTAGATATCTGTGTATGGGGATTAATTTTGACTTTACTAGGCAAATAAGCCTCTGCCCAAGTGAAAACTAATTTAGCTGCTTTTCAAGACATCAAATCAAATTTCTTTATCTCCAGAGCCTAATATGTGGCCTAGCATATAGTAGATGCACAATAAATGTTTGATGAATGTTTAATGAATGAATGATGAAGATTAAGTAGTCCATAAGGATGCTTTATAAACTCTTTTAATTAGTTCTTTATTTTATTTGCTTAGCTCATGTCAGACCTCTTTCACAATGTGTTCACATATTATTATATCATCATTAGTGTACACATCACTAGGCAGGAATGGTTGTAAGGCACACAAGAATTTCAAAGGCAAGGGGCTTTGATCCGGGGCTAGGACATTGAGTTCCACCGGCAGGCTGATACCCCTAAAGAATTTCCACCTACGCAGATTAAGATAGCTTAAGACATGGCAAAATCTAGCTTAATAAAGACAACCCAGGGGGATCTGGGGTAGCAAGTGGGACACTGACAGTAGTAGTACTTAAACAGTAGTGGTTCTCCAAGCCAAGCTGATAATGGTATTATGTCACTGGGAAGGATGTGGAGAAAAGGAGAGAGGCCAGTAAGGATACACGTGGATTGAGTTCCAAGGCACAGCTGCGTCTCAGGGCTTCTGCTTTTACTCTGCACACTTGCCTTGGACATTCTTATAACCTGCTAGTCAGCAAAGTACCATGTATATGCTTATAATCCAGTCCCATGTCCAGCAGCCTATGCAGGACAGTTCCAATTAGCTGTCTCACACATGCTGCATCATTTGCATGATTAGCTCAGCAGCTTTCCCCAAAACTGGCCTCTCCTGAATGTTTTCATCTCTGTAGGTCATACCACCACCATCAACCTGGATGCAGAAAGCTGGTAGTTGCTCTCGATTCCTCTAGCTTCCTCATCCTTTATCCCTATCTACTTGGCTCCATTCCTTCTGCCAGCCATCAGCCCTGGCCTCCAAATTGGACTCCCTAGATCCACTCTCAGTCCTCCAAACAATTTTACGCATAATACCAGAGTGGCTTTTATAAACAGTAATTTAGAAAATATGTCTCCCCCTGCTATAGTCTGAATGTTTGTAGTCCCCCAACATTCATATGTTGAATCTTAATCACCAAGGTGATGGTATTAAAAGGTGGAGCCTTGGGAAACACTTGTATGTCTTTTTTTTTTTTTTTTTTTTTTTAAGAGACAGGGTCTTGCTCTGTTGCCGAAGCTGGAGTGCAGTGGCCCACATAGCTCACAGTAACCTCCAACTCTTGGGATTAAGTGATCCTCCCGCTTCAGCCTCTAGAGTGGCTGGCTACAGGAGTATGCCACTATGCCCTGCTAATTTTTTAAAAACAATTTTGTAGAGATGGGGTCTTTCTATGTTGCCCAGGCTGGTCCTAGAGTGCTGGCCTCAAAAGATCTCCCTGCCTCAGTGTGAGCCACCACACCTGGCCTCTTGTGTCTTTTTGTAAGGACATTAATTCCATTCATGAGGGCTCCACTCTTATGACCTAACTACCTCCCAAAGGCCCCACTTACTAACACCATGACATTAGGGGCTAAGATTTTAGCATATGAATTTTGGGGAAACACAAACTTTCAGTTCGTGACACTGAGTGAAAGAATGAGAGATGAACGTACTGGAGTGCTTGTCAGTAAACAAATGAAGCAATCAGAACAAGCAAGTGCAGCCAGGGATGTGGGAAATGGGAGGCGTGAGGGACACTCAGGAGCCCACACTTAACTTCTGGCATATCAGACACCAGGTTAATGGCATTAAGACCACTTCTAGGTCCTCCAGAAGGAAGACCTGAGTTACCTAGGGATGCAGGATAGCCTGGAAGAGAGACAGACCTGAGTTCTAATCCTGAAGGTACAATCCTGGCAATTTACTTATAGGGCCGATGGAAGAATTCATTGAGATCATTTGCGTCAGGTGCATGGCATGACAAACTGGTATTTTGATATGACCCTTTTGATACAGTCATTATGCCATGCTCAGCTTTACCCATCAAGATGCTTCCGTGTATAATAGTAATAATAGTTGATACTTTTGAACACCTTTTCCCTTGAGAGTCTTCCAAATTTTATAGGAAAACTACCTTACTTAGTGCTCAAAAAGAAACTCTATGAAGAATTTCATTCTCATATTATGAGGCAACCAAGGTATAGAGTGGGTGACTAACTGTCCAAAGTCACACAGCTGAATGAGGTACAGTATTTGACAACCTTGGTGATGCTACCCTACAGCTTCTCATTTGCTCCTAATGTTATTTTAATTTTATGTCTTCTCCATTAAAGATTTTAAAATTTAATTTAAGGAATATCTATGGAATCACCCACCACGTGTGCAATATTAAGGACTGTGTGAAATTAAATGAACAAATACTTATCATTGATTATGACTTTCTAGAAGAAAGCTGTAACTTCTTTATATTATTGGACTTTAACATCTTTGTGAGAGAATTTTAAAAATAGGGCAAGGAATGATACAGGGATAAAACAGAATTTTCCAGAGCAGGTAAACAACTCCTTTGAGTGCAGATGATGCTGCAGTGAACTCTGAGACGTCCTAAATGTTTGTTCTCTAGTGGTGATGAAGTCATCTTCAGAACTGATCTGCTTCCATCAGACAAATTCCAAACAGTCCAGGCTCCTAGATAAGTTTTCAAGAGAGGTAATGCACTTGATTTCATACCATTTCTGAAATCTCCAAGTGAAAAAAAAATGTTAGTTATGTGTAATGGGGCAAAATGTCATTTGTCTTTTTGGGGAGAATGGTCTGAATGACTGTCATCAGCAACTTTGAAGGCTGTTTTTTTTTTTTTTTTTTTTTTTTTAAATGGAGTCTTGCTCTTGTCGCCCAGGCTGGAGTGCAATGGCACAATTTCTTCTCACTGCAACCTTTGCCTCCTGTGTTCAAGCGATTCTCCTGCTTCAGCCTCCCAGTAGCTAGAATTACTGGCGCCCGCCACAATGCTCAGCTAATATTTGTATTTTTAGTAGAGATTGGGTTTCACCATGTTGGCCAGGCTGGTCTCGAACTCTTGACCTCAGGTGATCCACCTGCCTCGGCCTCCCAAAGTGCTGGGATTACAGGCGTGAGCCACCGCTCCCGGCCGAAGGCTGGCTTTTTTACCATCATTGAAATCAAGTTAGAATGCACTGTCTCTTCATAGGTAACAAGTAAATCTTTGTAATCAATTGGAATAAATTCCAATGAGCTTTTTGAAAAAATGAAATTTCTGGGATATTATTAATGATGCACATAGAAAGACAGTGAATCCAATGCACATTTTCTTCAGTTTTGATAACGTTACTGTGATTCCTCGCTTGTCCAAAAGAATCGAAGAATGAGTTCGTTCTAGCTTTCTACAAATGAATTCTGCATTTCATTCACAATGAAATAAAAGAGCAAAAGTTATCTGAGTATACCACTAAAGTACTATATATCTGTAAATTACTTTACACTTGCTATCCTCGGCTCATCAGATTAAGCTACAATCAGAATGTCTCATTTATAAACGGAAAGTTGATCAGCTTTTTACTTCCGACCACAAGTTTATCTCCCCTCAGATACCACTGATCCAGTGAGGCATTTAGCTTGCCATAGGCCAGGCTGGGGCCAGTACCACGGCATCCGCAAGGGTGCCAACCTTGTTTGCCTGGATGCCTCCAGCAGATTCGCGCAAACTGCAACTGGTTTTACATCAGGAATACTGTTTGACCAAAGAGTAATTTAGGAGCCAGAGATGAAGTGAGTAAACGTTCAACCGAGGGGTCAAGGTTTCAAACGCACACGTTCTCTATCCCACCAGGAAAGTTCGATACTGTAACAGTGTTTTCGTTTTTCCTTGTCCACCCTAAAGGTTTTCGTCAGGATATTCCCAAAGCCTCCGTCGGTCTGGGGGCAGGAGTAGGGAGAAGGGATGAGGTGACTTTTTGGGCGGGGTGGGGGGAACGTCTGGGCAGCCAGGGACCTGCCCATTCACTCCCCTTTCCCAGCCCCGGGAGGGCGCAGCGCCCGGGTGGGGAGCCCGAGCCAGCCCAGGCCGGCTCTGGCCTCCTGACCCAGACAGCGCAGGGCGCGAGGGATCGCGCGGCCGAGCCCGGGTCGCGCCGCTCCCAGCATCGGGGCCGCTAGCCAAGAGTTCGAGGCCTTCCCGATCCGGATGTGATGAAAAAGAGCAACAGAGGGAGAAGTGTTTCAGGATTGTAGGAGTGGAAGAGGGGAAAGAGAGGCAGAGAGGGGGAAGGCCCCCTCGCAGGGGAGCCGGCTGGAGTGAGCTGGCTGGAAAGAGGGGGCGGAGTGCGCGGAGTCAGAGCCGCCACCGCTGCCGCAGTTGCCGCCACTGCGGCGTCTGGGCTGAGCCGGAGGGAGGCGGGAGGACGCGCAGGGGCGGCCGCCGCCGTCGTCAGGCCACCGGGGCGAAAATGCGGCCGCTGCCGGAGGCTCGCTAACTTTCCGGGGCGGAAGAGGAGGAGGAGGAGGAGGAAGGGGCTTGGAGCGACTACGGGGGGATGCGGAGGTAGGTAGTGGTCTCCGGGCGGGGAAGAGGAGGGGTTTGATCCCCATCCCCGGGGTTCTCCCAAACCCGATCTCTCTTTCCAGCCCCTCCCCGCTGGGTCCACCTCGGACCCCTGGGACCCCGCCGCTGTCAACTTGCGCTGTAACAGTTTTCTTCGCAAGTTTCAAATCAAAACTTCCCCGGGGTGGAGTTTGAGGGAGGGAAGTGGAGGGGGAGGGAACGTCCCGCAGGGGTGGTGTGCTCTTCTCTAAAAACATTTTTTTTTTTAATTTTGTATATTTTTCCGCCAGAAGCAGTCAGTTCCCTGCACCCAGCACCTCACAGCCCTTCCTCCGTGCGCCCTGCCGGGCGGCGAGCTAGGCGGCAGCGGCGCGGCGCGGGCTCGGCGGAGCGGCCCATGTCCGGCGCGGGCGAAGCCCTCGCTCCCGGGCCCGTGGGGCCGCAGCGCGTGGCCGAGGCGGGCGGCGGCCAGCTGGGCTCCACAGCCCAGGGTGAGTGCGCGCTTGCAAGTGGCAAGCTTCTTTGTCATTGTTGCATTTTTCAGTTTGCTCACAAGTGCACAGATAGGGGTGGGGGGAGTGCTGTGAGGAGGGGCTCCCACTCGTAGTTGAGAACTTTTGCACAGTTCGCGTTACTCAGGCAAGTTCTTCAGGATCCTTGCCCTAGATCAACAACCGGGTAAGAGGGCGGGAACCGTTGGTCCCTCCACTCCCCCTTCCTTTGGTTGCGAAGAAACAGGATGACAGGATTGCTTCTTTCTTAAGCATATGCATGTTTGGGCCTAAGACTCAATGTGTAGGTTCTGAAGCGCTTCTCCTCTAGGTCTCTTCAGCAGATCCAGGACTGCCGCAGCTCTCTGAACAAGCGTGCACTTACTCCATTTCATCTTTCTGTTTCTTGTTGGCTCCTCTACCACCCGGTTGATAATTCAGGTTTCTGTGACCAGTAGCTTTGGAATGGCTTATGCTTGTTTTCAATAACTGGTTTGTTTTGAAATAAATAAACAAGGTTTATAAGAAACACTTTCCAAGAATGAATTAGCTTCTTTGTGTTCTTCCAAAGTGTAAACACACACAGCCTATAAAATACTCTTGTGTCTGGGAAACTTCCATAACAAGCTTCTAAACGAGTTGAACCTTTCTTCTCTTGAAGGCAATATACTTTAGGTTTCCATTGGTGACAGAGAGGAAGGTTCTTAAACTTCTAATGCATTTTACTCTAAGGATGGTTTTGAGCTAAAGAATTCTGTCACTGATATATCAGAACTAAGTAATTTTTCCAGTGCTCAAAAACCTAGCATATACCCCTGATTTTAGGCATAAACTGATAGCTTTATTTCCCACTTGTACTAATGTAGTGAATCTTAGGGATTTTTTTTAAGGCAGCAAAAATTGGAGAAGGAGTTAACTTTCAAGCTGCAATAGGTAAAAGCAGAAAACATCTTGGTTAAATTAAAATGTTCTGGCACCCAGGGCTGTTAAACTGAATTACATTTATCATTATTTTTTGCCTCTAAATGAGTGACTCAGCTTTCTAAACAGAAAATAAAAATGATTAACTGCAGAAAATCAGAGAACTAGAATGATAAACATATGTTTTCTGAGAAGCAGCCCGTGTTCTCCACCTTGTATTGTCAGCACAATCATTTTCCTGTCATTAGGCATGCCCTTAGTAGTCATATCGACTCATTGATGGGCTGTTTATGCTCACACTTGAGCTGCTAATCACAATTGTTAAACCAGGCTTATGTCAAAAATCAACATCAAACACCCAAGGAAAATAATTTGACCTGGAAATAGCTAATATCTACAATATCCAACTTTAATAGTTTGCATTTCTAAAATCATCTGGGAGAATGTGCAGTGGTACTTAATGTACCTGTGCATTAGGATGCTGGATGGTGTCATGTGATCTGAACTTAAGAACCCGAAAATCTAGAGTGGCCTGAAGTACATTTGTTGGGTACAACACACGTTATCAGTGTAGAAACTCTTGGGTTATATTTTACCTGAAAATTGCCTTAGCTTTAGCAACATAGTTATACATTTTTATTATTATTAGTTTAACTTTGATCCAAAACTTTCTTTAAATAGGGATCAGTTTAATTTAAATATAAAGTTGATTTTTAAAAAGAGAGTCTGCAGAATCTTGTTAAAATATGATGTCTTAAACAGGCAGATGTCATAAGGTGTATTTAAAGAAAGAAATTCTTGGAGCAAATGGTTAGAGGAAAGCTTCAAGGGAAGCTTGGTTAGGTTGGTTTTATTGATAAAGACATTTGTGAAGAAGCTTTGCTCGAAGGCCACTCTACTCTTAAGCCTTTTCTCAAGTTCTTTTATCCTCTTGCTTCTGTCCTTGGATTCTTTATCATCCTTTCTGAAGAATAGCTTAATAATTCTACGGTAGGATATGGCTGCTTAGTTAACAGAAACCTAATTTTTAAATTCTTTATATTAAAGTCAGTAAGAAAAGTGGAATTTTAAATACAAATTAACAGAAAAAAATATTATTTCAGGAACATGAAGGATATGATCAAGTCTACCCCTGCAAAGTTAAATATATATATATAGGTAAATAATGACATTACAAGCTCTACATTTATTACTATACTATATTGTGATGAGCTATCCATACTGTTAACCAAAGGCATGAAACATTACAGTTGAAAGTAATTTTGGGGATTCTCTAATCTGAACTCCACATCAAGTCTAAAATTCAATTCTACATCCTTTTAGGTGTTTTGTTAAAAACCTGTAGTGAAGCCCATTCTAGTATTAGCATTAAGAATTAGAAAGGTTGTCCATATTAAGAGCATACTCTTCCTCCTTAAAGTTTCTACCTTTTTGTTGTGGTTCTGCAAGGCTTTCTATTGTTTTGAAAGCATTAAAAAGCATTACAAATCTTTCCCATGTGTTTTGAAAATAGTTACAGAGCAGGGACATAAGCTTACATGCTCCAGGCTGTAAGAGGGAACCAGGATAGATGTCAGACAGTATGGAGCAATGGGGATTTTGGGGAACTGGAGAGCTCATGGGCCAGGAAACAACATTCCTCAGTTTTAGCTAATTGTTGCCATGTGGGTTAGTATCTTCAGATATTTCAAGTGATACTGGAAATCCAGATTTTTATGTATCATCTCTCCATTTTTAAGAGTTTGCAACTAATTAAACACCAATTTTGTGCAGGCCAAACAAAACAACCACAACTGTAGGCTGGATATGGCCTCTGAGCAGCTAATTTGTGATCTCTCATACAGAAAATAGAAAGTAAACATGTAATTTAAAGCTATATTCTTATTTGTTACTACCTTGTGAAATATTGATTTACTTTCTCATGCAAAGTACTTGTATACATGTCTTGATAGGTGAAAAGCCATTTCAGTTATACTTTATTTTAAGAGATAATGGATCTTGTTTGTGTGGTCCCTGTAATTGCCATTTGTCCTGGTTTGATTAAACATTTTAAAATTCGTGTTATGGAACCACATTGAAAATGTAAGTATTTGCCCTTTGGTGCAATAGTTACTAGAACTCCTATAATCCAAAGAGCCTTTGAATTAAGTGCTTCTTTCATAAGTATGGGATTTGTAACTAGAGGGGTCTTTAGAAATAATTTAATCCAACCCGCTCATTTTTTAAATAAGGGAAAGGATGTCCAAAGAATTTAAGTGACTTGCCCAAGGTCTCATACACAGTCAGTAGCAAGAAATCAGGGTAGAAGCACAAATTATAACATAAATTGTATGTCATTGTGATAAATGCAGTTGAAGTAGAGAATCAGTTCAACTTTTTTATAGGGCTGGATGCATTGACAATAGGCTTGGGATATTGTGAATCACTTGAGCTTGTTCCCATCCCTGTATCTTTCCCCCAACCCCCCAAGACATTGCATTTGTCAAGACGTAGATCGTTGGACTCTGAGTGCTAGAATATATTTTAATGTGATAATGTGTGATTTAATGCACTCTTCTCTCTTGGGAGAGTCCTCTTGAGACTATTAGGCGGACTTTTCTTAGCAGGATGCAAAATGCCAGTGAAGTTAATTAAAAATAATCTAAAATAGAAGCTGGGGAGAAAATCAAGTTGAAATTACATAAGAAGAGCTTTGATTTAGAAGCTTAGCTGAGTTGTCAGTAGTTTATAGAGGCTAATCAGATTTTCTTTTTGGGAAGCCAGTTTATTTCAATGTATATAATGTATACTTGTACATATCTGTATTCTTCTATTTTTATCATATTATTTTATCCTTTTGATTAAGGATGGCATTTCACAAAATGTGTCATCTTTGAACAGCTTCTAATCCTGGTTCTCTACTGGGGACAATTTTGCTCTTCAGGACACATTTGGCAATATCTACAGGCATGTTTGGTGGTCGTAATGGGGGTGCTACTAGCATCTAGTGAGTGGAGATCAGGGACACTCCTGAACATTTTGTAATGCATAGGATAGGACAACCTTTACAAGAAAGAATCACCAGTAATGTTGAGATTGAGAAACTGCTATCCTTGAGGCAACTGACGTTTTTGGTTTCATCCCAGACTTATAGAATTAGGATCTCTGGATGTAAGAGCCAAGAATCTGCATTTTAATCAAGCTCCAGGTGCTCCTTAACTCTAGTTGAGAATCATTGTTTTATGGGCTTTAATCTCTAAAAGGATATGTTATAGTGATAGACTTTTAAAAACAGTCCTTTTTTTTTTTTTTGGAGGGAAAGACTTCAGAAAGCTTTTTAAAAGTTCACCTTTTCAAGTTCCAAAATTTAAATTGTTATCACTCCATGTAAACTCTCTAATAATCCTCTCTAAGATTTTTTGTCATACGCTTCAATTCATCCTCAAAATACTGCTGCATAGTCATCCTCAAAAAAGCTTATTTATTTTCATAATTATATGCACTATAATACAAATATATTTTTAACAATATAAAAGAAATGCAAAAGTAAAAATTAATAAGGATGAGAGACTAAATAAATAGAATTTTAATACTTTATTTCACTATTTCAGTAGATATTCTTGCTACCCTACACTTTGGAGACTCCAACATATGGCAAAACAAGGAAAGAAATCTCCAGTTTTCACATGAGTTGTGTTCCATTGTAAATTGGACTTTTAGAGCCTGGATTCTACTTTCTCATAGAAACAGAGGGATAAATTATATTTAGTTCCCTAATAAAAGTCAAAAGATTGTTAGAATTAAGTTTTATTAAATTTTGTGTGCTTTTAATGGTAACTCACAGAAAACATACTATTATAAAACTGGCAGCAAATACAAATAACCAAGAATAAAATTAAACTGAATAGAAATTGGTTTAAAACACTTTTTGAATACAGATGCTTGAGGAAGGACAAGCTTAATTAGAAAAATATAGAAGGGCATGTAGATTTGAAAGAGGATTTGGGAACATTTTGAATTTAGAAAATGAATCTTAGAACTTATACTTCTAACTTTTTATGCCTAAAGGAACTAATGTACATTTTATGATTTTAGTTATACAAGTGGAGGGCTTATCAGCTGGGCATATTCATTTTCCCTTTGTTAAGAAAAAGAACCAAATGAGTAAGAGAAGAATGTAACTGGGAAAAAACTAAAAACAGAGGAAGGAAGTGGTTAAAGAAGATATATCTGTAAATTTAAGAAAGCATTTGGAGAGGTTGAACTGTTTAAGAACTGTGAAAAAAAAAAGGTCTACGGAATAGCATGGTACATGCTGAGCCTGTGGCTGGCATGTTAAGGAAATCAGTGCCATAGTAGAGGCACAAAGAAAGTGTGATGGCAGAACATGGGCGAGAGAAAATATCTCTAGTAGGGGATTTGGAAAAGCCTCAAGAAAAGTTTTGATTTGAGTTGGACCAGGAAGCATAGCATGGTTGTAGGACTCAGTTCTGTGGAGATAAGTGGTAGAAAACAAGGCTTGGGGGAGATGATTACAGAATATTGGGTACTTCACCAAGACCATTGTTGGGGCTGTATGAAGGGTCGGAGAACAAGATAGCCTAAAGTCAGTTTCAGGAGGGCCCTGATTCTCTTGCTGAGGAGCTTGCATATCTCTTCTGTAGGAGTTGGTGACCACTGAAGTCTCTTAAGAAGAAAAGGACAGGAACCACTTGTGTTTTTAGGAAAACTGTTCTGGTGACAGTTCATAGAATGGTTTTGGAGGAAGAAGCAAGAGTGGAGGCAGTGATTATAATAGGCTGACAAAAGATTAGAGGACTTAGGGCAGCACCAGTAGGAGTAAAATTGAGGAAATTGATTTAAAAACAATAGCAAAAATAGGATAGAGCTTTACTCAGCTGTGAGAACCCCTGAGGGAATAGATTTTTACTTATTCATCTTTGAAACTCCTGAGACCAAGCACAGTGTCCACATTTTGATGAAATGATATGGTTGGGTAAAAAATATAGATATAGATCTATAGATAAATATAGATATAGATCTATAGATAAATATAGATCTATCTATCTATCTATCATCTATCTATCTATATATTTTGAGATGGATTCTTACCCTGTTGCCCAGGCTGGAGTGTAGTGGCATGATCTCGGCTCACTGCAACTTCCACCTCCCGGGTTCAAGCGATTCTTCTGCCTCAGCCTCCTGGGTAGCTGGGACTACAGGCGTGTGCCACCAAACCTGGCTAATTTTTTGTATTTTTTAGTAGAGACGGGTTTCACCATATTGGCCAGGTTGGTCTCGAACTCTTGACCTTGTGATCCCCTGCCTTAGCCTCCCAAAGTTCTGGGATTACAGGCTTGAGCCACTGTGCCCAGCTTCCATTCCTTTTTATAATGGAGTTAATAGACTGCCAGTTAAGGGACCTGCTATAGATATGGTGTCTCTGGATTTTGGCAATCAGACAACATCTTTAATGATAGTTTTCTCGCCTAGCCGGTGGTTGGGTAAAATATTTTATAAGGGAGATGGTGGAAAAGTAGAAATTTAAGGTAATCCATAAGTTTGCTTTGTAGCCTGAGTGGCAACCTAGGAGGAGCTGTTGAGTCTTCTTAGTCACAGGAGCATTGGATATTTGGTGGATACAAAAGATGAAAAGAGTTTTGGTTTGTTTAAGAGAAACAGGGTGCATGGAAGACTTCTCTTGCTTGGATGGGTGGATTGAATACACTCACTGTGCACTAATGAGAAGAAAGCCGGAAGTTAGAGAGAAAATGAAGATGAAAGGAGATGGAGGAGGGAGGAAGTGGTGCAGTAGGTGTTTGTAAGGGAAAGATAAAAATTCTGGGATGGAATGGGATGAAGGGACCAGTCTTTGGAAAGTTGGGAATATTCCTCTTTGAGATGGAGGTGGGAGAAAAGGATAGGTGATAATCTAGAGAACATTTGATGTGAAAATGAATATTGAGGGCCTAGATCTCAGCAAAGTAAATGGTAACATTTTCTGAGAGCAAAGGAGGTTAGGATGAATCAAGAAGTTTGAGATGTCTGGAAAAGATTTGGAAGAGGGAAGAATTAAAGGGATAGTCAATCTGGGGCAAATAAAATGCCTGCTGGGTAACACAAAGAAATTAACTAGGACTGAATGGCATGAATTCTTAGTGGAAGTGATCAGCATGGTTGATTGTCTTTCTCAGCCAGGGAGCATGCAGGAGCTTGGGAAGGGAAGCAGACAGAATGGATTTTGCAATTAGCATAGGGTTGGAGGTTGGCAGGGTGGAAGTGATGAGAGGATGACAAGTGACAAGGGATGCATATCACGCATGTGTGGGAAGTGTTTATGTTAACCGGTCTTGTATTCCAGGCTGGGAAGAGAATCCAGAGACCAGAAATGCAATTGACAGGCTAAGACCTCTGGCGAGAAAAAAAATTGTGGCTGTTGCTTTGTTTGGTCAGTTCACATATGAGGATTTAATATATATGATTGAGTGACCTTTACATGGCTATGAGGGAAGCTGTGGAATTTTTGGGTGTGTAAAGGCTTTTCCTGTTTCTTTGAACCTCGTTTCCTGGATCTTGTTGAGATGATTTCATGGAAAGAAGGCCTAATAACAGTGTGCAATTATTTTATTGGATTATGTTTCTATAATAATAAAAGGTTTGGGAGTAATGAGGAAACATCAATTGACACCATCTAAAGTTAGGCCATATGCAAATACAAAGTTATTTAGAACAACAACACATGGAACAGATAAAAAAAAATTCAACCAGATTATCTTTCTGAGACAATGTAAATATTTTTCTGTACAAAGGCAGAGGATAAATCGTGATTTCTATGTTTCTACTTCTAAAAGCATTCAGTTTTTATTAAGAGAATACATTCTGTACTGACTAGATTCTAGATTTTGGACAATTTAACTTCAGTGATTCATTGGAGTAGATCAAAGAAAGTTGCTGCAGCCCTTCTGTCTTAATCAGTGCTATGTATATGCACCAG